>NC_000023.11:145081666-145384696 GCF_000001405.40 Homo sapiens | reverse complement strand
TAAGAGGTTTACTAAGGCCTAACTTAGTTTGGGGAGTTAACACTTTTCCCGAGGAATTATTCATGATCTGGCTCCACTGGACCAGTTATAAGTGCTGAATGTTCACAGCCTTCATTTTATGCTTCTAAAATATCCCTAAAGTATTCTAACTTTTTTTAATGTTGCCAACTCTTGAGGTCAATTCCTAATAAATATTTATGGTGAAAAGAATAGAAGTGATTTAATGAAAGTAAAATGATACTATTTCTATGGAAGTAAATTTTCACCCAAAACAATTCTATTTGGCCAGATAATCATAGCTATTTTAAAAAGAACAAGATAGACTTGATATTTCACTATCTCATTTGTTCTCCAACTCACCCTCTGTATCTGATAAGGGCTATTCTCATCACAGCATGGTTCATGGCTAAAACCCACTCATTGATTTAGAGATGAACAGACCCAAGTTTTTGTAAGTGGCAGAACCTAGAGAGTTGTCCTGTGTAATGACTGGTTTCTCACCCTGCTATTCACTAACTCTGTCCTTCACCTTTATTGATATAGTTCAAACACTGCTCCAGAAGCTGTGAGAGATGAAAGGAAATATAAAAAGATGATTGAGTCCCCCCAAGATGGGCAGTCTAATCAGAGGAACAGAAACACACACACACACACACACACACACACCGTTAAAGAACTGAAACACAAGACATCCTCAGTTAGGAAAAATTTGGATCCCTGTTATGAGGTACACCTGGTACGGGAGTTTTCCTTGCCCATTTATTTCTGAGAAAACAATACTAAGCTGGCTGTGACCCTGACAACAGATACGTTTCTAAGGGAATGCAAGAACCACTCAGACACATGCCACAAAATCATTCTATTCTGCTTGCCTAAAATATTTGCCATCCCAAGGAAGGACACGCTTTTGCACTCTGAGATAATCCAGAAAGGAAAGCAGCTTTGGGTCGTGTGAGAAATATGGTCAGCACCTGACAAGAAACTAAGAATTATGTCCTTGCTTTCTCAAACAGTATTTTAATGTTGTAATAGTTTAAAAAATTTATATTTCAATTTTTAAAGTTATATATTTCTGTTTTTACATAATATTTGTGCATATTTGTTGGGGAATGTAATTGTATTAGTTTGTTTTCATGCTGCTGATAAAGACATACCCAAGACTGAGTAATTTATAAAGAAAAAGCAGCTTAATCGACTCACAGTTCCACATGGCTGGGGATGCCTCACAATCATGGTGGAAGGCAAAAGGCACATTTTATGTGGTGGCAGACAAAAGAGAATGAGAACCAAGTGAAAGGGGTTTCTCCTTATAAAATCATCAGATCTCGTGAGGCTTACTCACTACCACAAGAACAGTATGGGGAAAACCGACCCCATGATTCAATTGTCTCCCACGAGGTCCCTCCCACAACATGTGGGAATTGTGGGAGCTACAATTCAAGATGAGATTTGGGTGGGGACAAAGCCAAACCATGTTAGTAATATTATGTTACATGCATAGAATGTGTAATCAACTAGTCAGAATATTTAGGGTATCCTTCACCTTGAGTATTTATCATTTCCATGTTTTGTTATAAATGTCAGCAGGAGTCAGAATAAATATTTCTGAAACCAGTACATCTCCCAAATTATAAACAAAAACATAATCCCTCAAGAATATTGTGAGTCAGGAATATATGCTCTAAGAAAAATTCTAATCAAATATTTTAAATATTGAGGTACTAAAATACTTGATTACATAAAAAACTAGACAAATGAAAATTAAGAAATAATCCATTCAGGTTTATTGCATTTAGGTTTAAATTAAATCAAAGTAATTGTGCCAGAGGCTTTAATAAATTATCCTACCTATTCATCAGAGCAACTCTTGAGGATATATTATTACCTCCATTATACAGATAAAGAAATAAATGCACAAAGTAGATAAACAAATTCCCAACATCTCATAGCATATAAAAATTATACACGTAGATATAACCTCTTGCTCTTATGAAAATGTCTCTTTAGTTAATGTAATAAATGCTCGTCTTACATTTCTTGGCAGAGGAGATCTGCTTCACCTTTACCCCAAGATTTTTATTGTAGAATAGAATTAAAAACACATAGACAATGCCCATTTATTTTCTCCCACTTTAATTTATTTTGTAATTGTGCCATTTTATTTACTCAATAAACATCCTCTGACTTATTTTTCATCTCTTTATGTATGTTTTCTCACAATTCCCCTGACTTAAAAAATTATTTTCCATTAAGCTTTTGAAATGATAAATTGCATTCTGGCTTATTTTAAAAAACTTGCAGATAAATGTTTCGTACCAGTCTCAGTAGTTATTAAGGAATCACAAGGAAAGAGAGAAATTATGGAAAAACTATGAGAGAGGAATGTCATCATTTTTATAAAGGACAAGAAGCAAGCATATTTTGCAGACTACTACCCAATGTATTGGACAATAATACCACATACATGTTTAATAGATTGTTATATGTCTTGAGAGTATTTGGAAAGACATAGAGTGAGCACTATAGTGTACAGTCATAACAAACCATGGCAGAAAAGTTTATTTTGTTAGGAGGATCACTGCATTGGCTGGCTAGGGGGTGGCTATAGATTTCTACAACACAATAGAGTTTAACTCTTATCATCAATGCCCTCAACCCTGTACTCCATTCATTCCATGAACTGCTGCCAAATTAAATATACTGTTTTAAATATGATTTGCATAATTTCTATATTAAAAACAAATCAGAAAAACTGCAATATTCAAACTACACCTTCAAAGAGAACTGTTTAAAACTTAACTTGTCAACAGCAATCTTGAAGGAGTTTATTAGCTACAGCAAAGTTTTGCTCTCGGTAGGATGGTACTAGGCAGCATTAATTCAACAAGTTGTTTAAAAAAATTCAAGATAATTTAGGGGTTTATTGACTCCTGAAACTATAATAGACTTCATCAGGAAAACTGCATCCAAGTGATCCATAATTGCTTTTCAACTGCCATTGCATTTCTAAATCAAGGCCTGGTTGTAAATTAGCATGTGGAAATGGGAATGATAACATTATTCTCTCTATATCCACATTGTTTCCATTGTAGTCTATGTTGCAATTCTACTTGAGAAAGGATTTGAAACATTCATGAATGTCTTTAAGACTTGTAAGCGACTCATTATTTTCATACTGTGGAGAATAGAAATGTAAAAATTCTTAATCTGTAATTCCATTTTAGGACCTTGTCAAGGTTTCCCCAAGACATTGTAGAATTGCAGCCATTTCTATTACTGCAGCACTAAAGAATTCTACTGGCAGAGAACCCCATTACAAACCCAGCATTGAATGCTGGGGAACAGGATCAGCATATCCTTATAACAGACTATATTATACCAGGTTTTCTACACATAATTGCTACTCTAAAAACTTTTAAAAATTGTTACTTTCACCTCTGGCTATAAAAGTAGTACTGAGAAAAATATTAAAACCAAGAAAATATCTATAGTACAATGACTCAACGATCAAAAGACCTGACATGATTGTATGTTTTTCCACAGTTATCGCTACTTAAATGTATTACATGTCTACATTTTGTCCACAAATAGGGTTCCTACCCTGTAACATTTTTTACTTAATAATACACCATCACTATTTTCCCATATTAGATGTTCTTCTAAAATATTGTTTTAGCTGTGTAGTTGCTATGTGTTTAAGGTCATAGCTGAGATTTATGATCTAGCTGAAACTGAATAATGTTTTATTTTGATTGTTTAATTTATATGCTATGATTCAATCTTATGGAGAAGATTTGTGACTTCAGTTCTGTGAATCTAAAATATTCCTTTCTAGTTAGTGCATAACTTATACATAATTTTTTACCTGTCATCAATTTTAGCACAAAGATACAAGAGATCTTGAAGCAAATAAATTATCTCAGGAAGCATTTTAAAATTTACATACTTTTTCTATCCACATAATTTGACAGAGAGCATATACTCACCAAGTGTTCCTGACTGCTTTGTGAATCTTTCTTTAGAGAAACAGTATAATTCAGATATGTAAGATTTATTTTTAAAGTAATTATTATCATTTCATGGATAATGAGAAATACATTTCTCTGTCATTTTCTGTATTAGTCCATTCTTACACTGCTGTAAAGAACTGCACGAGTCTGGGTAATTTATAAAGAAAAGAGCTTTAATTGACTCACAATTCTGCAGGGCTAGAGAAGCCTCAGGAAACTTACAATCATGGTGGAAGGGGAAGCAAACACATCCTTCTTCACATGGCTGCAGGAAGGAGAAGAATGAGTACAGAGTGAAGGGAGAAATCCCTCATAAAACCATCACATCTTGTGAGAATTAACTCACTATCATGAGAACAGGATGGGGGAAACTGGCCCCGTGATTCAATTCTCTCCACCTGGTCCCTCCCATGACACATGGGGATTATGACAACTACAATTCAAGATGAGACGTGGGTGGGGGCACAGCGAAACCATATAATTATCCATATCATTCACGTATATTCTGCAATATACACGGCATAATTAGAAAATCACGATTGTATGAATAACTGATTAGAAGTTTTTTCTGAAGTATTCAGTATAATTTGAAATGTGTTCATCTTACCCCCTTTTATATAATTTGTTAAAAAGCATAGAACATTTTCAATTCTCAAAATTGAAATACAACATTTTGTCTGTAAAACACTATAATTTAATAAATGTATAAAATAGTCTTTGAAATAAAAATTAAAATTCACCACAAGAAAAAAACCAATGTCCTTTGCAGCAACACAGATGCAGTTGGAGGCCATTATCCTAAGTGAACTAATGCAGAAACAGAAAATCAAATACCACATGTTCTCACTTATAAGTAGGAGCTAAACACTGAGTACACTTGATCACAAAGAAGGGAACAACAACACTGGGGCCAACTCAAGGGTGGAGGGTGGCAGCAGGGTGACGATAAAAAAACTAACTATTGGGTACTATGCATATTATGTTAGTGATAAAACAATCTGTACCCCAAACTCCCGTGACATGCAGTTTGCTCATATAAAAAACCTGCACATGTACCTCTGAACCTAAAAATTTTAAAAAATTCTAAGTAATGAGTTCCTAAAATATTTATCTTCCTTTTATTCTTTGTAGCCATAGTTGTCATGATAAACACTAATTACTAAGTTTAACAAAAACACAGATTTGTTGAACACACTTTGCTCAACATTTTTGTGAATGTGTATGTGTTTACATGAGCAATGCATGCAAATATAGGTTCATATCTTTTAACAAAGAACGGGAAAGCTTGACCAACCAGCCAAATGAAATCCCAACAGAAGAATCTGTTGGTGTTTTCAAGGAATATGTTCAAAAACTCCTGACAATATTCCCATCCAAGAATAACCCTAAAACGTATAGTTTTCCTGAAAACATTCCTGGTATTAACAGTAATTATAACTAACATTTACTGAACAGTAACTACATACCTAGCACAATGTGAAATGCTTTATCTAGCTTTAACTTCACAAACCTCCCATATGCTAAGAACTGTGATCATCACAACATTTAAAAAAACAAAAAAAATTTCCATTGCCAGTAAATGACAAAATCAGATCTTGACTCCAAGTATCTAGCAATAAAATCCAGGCCCTTAACCAGCACATTATTAACACCATAAAAAATAAAGAATGGTTCAGACATGTGCTGTTATTGATTCTCTCAAATGCTGAGGTGTCTGGAGACTGACCTCTGCCCCCTCCAACTCAACTTTCTCTAGTTTATAGGCATGTCTCTGGTTTAGAGAGTAGGTAATTATGTAAAGATTACATTACAATACCAAGTGATTGTGTGATTCACAATCATACAATTATGGCAGAAATTCACAATTTCTGCCATAATCTTAGAAAATTTCAGTATTCATATTAATGACCCATTTATCACAATTTCTGGCAGAGTTTTGAACCTTCTTTTTTTTTTTTTTTGTTTTGAGACAGGGTCTTGCTCTTTCACGTAGGTGGCGTGCAGTGGCATATTCTCACTGCAGCCTCGACCTTCCAGGCTCAAGTGATCCTTCAGCTTCAGCCTCCCAAGTTGCTGGCACTTACAAATGCGTGCCACAATTCTTGGCTAAGTTGTTGTAGTTTTAGTTGTTGTAGTTGTTGTTGATAGGGTCCCACTACATGGCCCAGTCTAGTCTTGAACTCCTGGGCTCAAGCAATCCTCTCACCTTGGCCTCCCAGAATGGGATTACAGGCATGAGCCACTGCACCCGGCCAGAACATTCCTAACTCCAGTGATTTTCATATCACTTCAGCCACCCATTTCATCTGGAACCATCTCAGAAATCTTAGATTTAAGTACTCTACTCAATGATCTCAACCACCTGTTATTTTATTTCCCTCATTACTGTATTTCCTCTGCACATTTTAAATCACATAGACATCTCCAATCTGTTTTCCTTCCATTTTCTCTCAGTTGATGAGTCCTCTGCTGCATTTTTCCTTCTATGCCCAATCCAGACCTCTTGATTAATCATTGAAGCTACTTGCTTTCTAACTAGCGCCTTCAGTTCTGTCTCAGTTCACCTGGGCTGCTGTAACAAAATATCATAAACCGTGTGGCTTATAAACATCATAAATTTATTGCTTACAGTTCTGTAGGCTGGGAAGTAGAAGACCAAAGCACCTGCAGGTTCAGTGTCCAGTGAGGGCTTTCTGATTCACAGATGGCACCTTCTTCCTGCCTTGCCTCCTCATATCATGGAAGTGGGGAGGGATCTCTCTGGCCTCTTCTATAAGGGCACTGAACCTATTCATAAGGGCCCCAGTCTCATGACCTAATCACCTCCCACAAGCCCCACCTCCTAATTTCATTACCTTTGGTATTAGGACTTCAAGATATGAATGGGGGGCTCAAATATTCAGACTATAGTGAATGCCTTACACTCAGATATTTCACATAATATAACCAGCAAAACTTCAAATCCTACTACTATTAGCAAACATATTCTCCCCATATTCTGGGAAGCTAAACAGTGCTGAAGAGTGCCACAAAACTCAGCAGGCCAGCATCATATCAAATACATTGTTTTTGCTATATTTTCTGTGTGCGGAGGATTGACAGTCAATGTTTTACTTATCTTTATTCATCACGCTTTTTTATTTTCCTCACATTTTCCTACTCCTGACCCTTGTGATTCTCAGCAGATTTTCTTCTTATTTAATCATGCACATTGTGGCTTACACATCTACTGATGGCTTTGGCTCCATCTTGTGTCCATTTCTGTTGCCTTTGGGCCCTAGTTCCATCACTGATTTCCTTTTTTTTCCCCTTCAGTCTAAATAGATAAATAGATAGATAGGTAGGTAGATAAATATAGAGATGTAGAGATAAAAATATTTTCCCCTGAGCTTTAAGTCTGTAGTTTTTCTAAAACTTTTCTCTTTTCTCCCCAACAAAGAAACCCCCAAAATGCCATTTTATATTATGTTCCCCTCTAGCTTTCATTCAGTCTCTCATGAAACATTTGAAAGTATAATCTATACTTGCTTTTTCACGTCATCACTCTACTTTACACTCTATTTTACTTCATCTGGATTCTATGATCCTCAGTGTTCTGGCTCAGGTTATCAGTAGATATTTTATTTCAAATCCAAAGATGCTTTTCATGCTTTTCCTTATTCAAGTTTGTTGTTGCATTTCACATTGATGATCATCCCCTCTTTCTTGAAGTGCCCTACTCCCTTGGCCTTTGTAGTGTCATACATTGACTTCATAACACCCAATTTTTTCTTCCAGTCCTTTTTGGTGTGCTCGTCTTCCTTCCATCCTCCAATTAAGTGTAGGTGTTTAGCAGAGTTTCAATCTTGGGCCAATGCTCTTTTGATTCTACTGAAAATCCTATCATCTCCTTTTTTTCAACTCCACCTAACTTCTGACTTCTACATTTGTATTTCCAGCCAGGCCTCTCCTCCAGGCTCCAGTCTGCCTTCTAGATATTTCTACCTATGTGAAGCTTTTATTACTATTCCTACTCCTATATTCATTGATGAGAAAGAGGCTTTCAAACTTTTATACTTTCTTCTCACTCATCAACCACTTAATCACAAATTTCTGAGCATCATATCTCCCAAATAGCTTTCAAATCTGCCTCCTTGTCTCCATCTCTACTAATACTCTCCAGTTTCATAATCTCATTGTCCTTTTTCTAGACATACACAAAACGCAACATGATCTTACCTTGATAATGCTATTATTTGAGCTTAATCATATAGTTCATGTGGTGTCAATGAAATGTTTTCAGAAGGAAAGTGACATATTAAGATTAGCATTATAGAAAAAAACACATTATGCCTAGGGTGTGGAAAATGGAAGGTTAAGGGCAGAAAAAGCAGCTAAGAGATTGTTGCAGGAACCTAGGTGAGAGATGAGAGCCTAAAACTGAAATATATATATATATATATATATATTTTGAGACGGAGTTTCGTTCTTGTTGCCCAGGCTGGAGTGCAATGGTGTGATCTCGCCTAACAGCAACCTCCGCCTCCTGGGTTCAAGCGATTCTCCTGCCTCAGCCTCCCGAGTAGCTGGGATTGCAGGCATGCGCCACCACGCCCGGCCAATTTTGTATTTTTAGTAGAGATGGGGTTTCTCCATGTTGGTCAGGCTGGTCTCGAGCTCCCGACCTCAGGTGATCCGCCCACCTTGGCCTCCCAAAGTGCTGGGATTACAGGC
Source organism: Homo sapiens (assembly GCF_000001405.40). Taxonomy (NCBI): domain Eukaryota; kingdom Metazoa; phylum Chordata; class Mammalia; order Primates; family Hominidae; genus Homo; species Homo sapiens. The sequence goes on along the minus strand of NC_000023.11, from coordinate 145,375,973 downwards.
ATGAGCCACCGCGCCTGGCCAAAACTAAAATATTAAGAGTAGGAATAGGCAGTAGGTAATAGATTAAAATATATTTAGGAAAAAAATTGTTAGAAAATGGCGATTGATAGAACACATGAGGTAAAGTAACTTTCATGTTGCTAATCCTTCAGAGAATTAACGTTTATGTTGTCATATTTTAGCCGTTTCTATTCTACATCATGTACTCACCAATATTATCCCGCCTTACATCTCATCCTTACAATCATTCTTCTAATTTATATGTGGTCAACTCAGTACTTTCCAAATAAAATCTCTCTTTCTCCTCAATATGTTCATACACATGTTCATATATTAAATTTGCTATTTAAATCCCTATTTAAATAAGAATGTAGCAGTTAACGTGTATTGGGTGCTGTGGAAGATAAAAGATGCATTAGATATCACCTTTCGGCTCCTAGAAGTTATAAACCAGTGCATTGATCACTGCATATCACAGACTTCTCTCAGGCCATTTTCTTTCTTTACTGGGCTGAGCTCTCCACACCTTTGTTTGCTATTTATCTAACCTTCTCATGAAGAAACTGTCAAAATGAATGCTATTATATGCCTTTTCTGCTCTTGCAGCAAATCAATATCTTCTATTGAGTATCTTCTATTTATCTATAGAAGATAAATCAGTATCTTCTATTGTGCCTGGCACAAGTATTTTATAAATGTTATCTTAATTTATACTTGTAAAACTAATACAAGATATATATTAACCTCGTTTGAAAAATATATTAAGGGGATATGAAGTAAATTGCTAATGTCATATAACTAGTAAGTGCTACTGTTGTGAACCTGAGCCAAAATGTGAATTATTTCTGTCTGTTTACTCCAAGTGGTTAAATGATATTTTTATTTGTGGTTTGGGGAATGGATAAAGAGAAAAAGTAATATTTGAGAAATAGTTAGAACTGTAGTAATACATGTGATCACTTCCAAGTATATATTGGACTGCTTTCAAACACCAAGTACTTACAAGACATTATACTTCAAATAAATATAGTCTTAATTTTGTTTCCTGGAAATAAAAGGTTTTATTTTGTATGCCAAAATAAATGTATTTTTTGTTTGCTTTGTATTATCTTTTCTTTCCTTTAGTTATGGGATGTCAGATTATTTGCAGAAGACCTAAATATTTACAAGTTTTTAATTATTCTAATTCTTCAATAATTTGTCGTTTATGCACAGTGAACATGTCTGTCCTTTCACACTTTATGTTGACTTGCGTTATACAAACCAAGCTCTGTCTTAACATAATTGCTAAAGTGACTGGTAATAGTAGGTAGTTTATGATCCTATTTTCAGAGTTGGCATTTTATTGATTATTGTGATTAATAACAGGTTAATTACTCCTGAGATACACAAGATATTTATATACATGTGCATTTCCAAGAATTATAGTATCATCACATCTCAGAGCCTGATGAGATCTTATAAGTCAACTAACCAAACTTATCATTTAACTTTTAAAAATAATCTCTATTCAAAATACACGTATATAACCCAGACTACCACCAGCAAGACATAAAATGAAGGAAATTTTCAAATAGTAGCCATGAAAGAAAATATCATCATCTTATTTATTCAGCTAAAACAAAATAATTATCTCAACAACGTTTAGTAATAAGAGCACTTACTATATGCCTGGTGCTGTTCAAAGTCCTTATATGTATGAATTCATGTAATCCTCACAACAACCCTGTGATGAAATTATTATTATTATTGCTATTCCCATTTTATAGATGATAAAACTGAGGCACAGAGCGGTGAAATAAATTTACTTAGAGTAACACAACTAGTTAATGGCAAAGCTAGGTTTCAAATCCAGGCAATTTGGTTCCAGAGTTTATGCAATTACAGCTTTTTATTTAATCCAATAGAAAATGATCAGAATAACTGTTCAGTGATGGAGTGCTGTCTTTCTACATAGACTTTCATCCTTTCTTTAGTTTTGACAGACTTTTTATATTGTACTAGGTGTCTACAGGGCTTTGTAGCCACAGTACTCTCATGGACAAGAACGCAAAGCACAAAATATATGTCATTTACTCACAAGATAGCTATGTTGTATGCTCTATTGGAGCTTCTTTTTAAGTATAAATTTATTTTTACAATTGGAAATGCACAGCTTCTACAGTGAGTGAAATCAACCTTAGTCATTCTGCCTTAGCCAACGTTTGAGAAGAATGTGCATCTTTTCTTTAGGCAGCTACCTTTCTTTCCATAATAATATGCTGCATTGATCAGCTCTGATAGTATTTATAACCCATCTCATTTTAATAGGACTATTAATACTCCTGATGTTTCAACAAACAGCATTAATCGTTTTAGTGTTGACATAGTGACAAATAATTTGATATGTGGAAAAGAAAAAATACAATCAGACAACCAAATTACATCTTTCAGCTGCTCGTGGGAGAAAATAACATGAACATAATTTAAAGTTTCAAAGAGGATTAACAACCATGCTGGTGAGAAGGCATCAAACGAAAATATTCCAGTCATAAGCTAGTAGTAGATACTGGCAATAAAATAAGATACTCCATTTAAGAATACTATATCATATCATAATGAAGCATCAATCTTAAATCTGTGGAATCAAAAGCATAATTTTGAAGTTTTCCTTATCACACTAGTTTTGTTTGCAAAGGTCCTAGCCTTAGTTTTACAGGGAGCCCCTATCCAGTGATTTTACAGGCCAGGGAAAATTCAACAAATGATTGTACATTACATGACAACTGTGATGAACTCACTAACATTTAGTTTACATTATCATGAATAGAATAGATGACAGAAATGGTAGACATTGATTTAATTTTATGAAGCAAGAGCACACTATGCAGTATAGTCGAAGATATAAAATAACACTGATATGTACACATAAAACAATTTGCACATTCTATTTATGCAAATTAAATATTCTATTTTTAATATATTCTAAGCATTTCACATCCAATAAAGGTGTCTTCGCAAAGTAACACTTATTCCAATACTATTGTCAGTGCTCAAAGCAGCTTTGGAATTCATCATCTGGAATTTTATTTGAAGCCAGCTGAAGGCCACTTGAGAAAGCTGTTTTCACCAATTATTGCACCATGTTTTACACCAAAATATTTGGTGTAAAATATTTGTCAATTTTACAGTTATTAGAGTAATTTCAAATTACTTTTTAGTTTTAGTTTAAGAAAATCGTATCCATCTACAAATGATGAGAGTAATACAGAAATGGTTACTGGCACAAAGAAGATGCTAAATTATGGATCACATGGATAAATGAATGACAAACAGGCTCCAGAGGTAACTCCAAGAATGAAGAAGATTCAAGACTTATTTGAGCTGGCCTGGGCACGGTGGCTCACACCGGTAATCTCAGCACTTTGGAAGGCTGAGGCAGGTGGATCACCTGAGGTCCGGAATTCAAGACCAGCCTGACCAACATGGTGAAACCTCGTCTGTACTAAAAATACAAAAATTAGCTGGGCGTGGTGACATGCACCTGTAATTCCAGCTACTTGGGAGGCTGGGGCAGGAGAATTGTTTAAACCCGGGAGGTGAAGGTTGCAGTGAGCCAAGATTACACCACTGCACTCCAGCCTGGGCAACAGAGCAAGGCTCTGTCTCACAAAAAAAAGAAAAGAAAAGAAAAGAAAAAAGAAAAAAGAATTATTTGATCAGTAGCTTTCTTCACTGAAATAATGATGATATGATGATTAATAATCATATTAATATAATAATATATTAATTATGTATTCATCATAATAATATAATAATTATGGTCATATGATACGTTCTCTCATGTGGAACACTTAGAAGAGAATGACACTTATTTGAATGGATGAGTTCAAGTCTTCACATTATAAAATCAATCACTTTATTTTTATTTTTATTTATTTTTTATGTTTACTAGTTTATTATAAAAGATATTACAAGCTGGGTGCAGTGTCTCATGCTTATAATTCCAGCGACTTGGGAGGCTGGGATCACTTGAGCCTCAGAGTTCAAGTCTGCAGTGAGCTATAATAGCACCACTGCACTCCAGACTGGGCATCAGAGAGAGATTCCATCTCTTAAAAGAAAAGATATTGCAAAGAATACAGATGAAGAAATGTGCAGGGCAAGGTATGGGAAAGGGGTGCAGAGCTTCCATGCCCTCCCTGGGTGCAGCACCTTTCAGGAGCCTCCACATGTTTAGTTATGTGCGAGCTCCTCACCTTATATTTAAATGACACTTCATGTATCTCGACTGTAACTTTTATTTCAAGAATTTTCAGAATTTGAATGGATTCAAATTTATTTTAAATTTTATAAGACAATTCAGAAGTTATCCACTGCTCTATAAATAATGCATAGAAAATAGAAGTAGATATAAGAACATGAAGGGCTATTATGAATAAAAAATATTTAACACCAGTTCTGTTTAAATATAATAGGAAAATATGAGAAATTCTTTATGTTCTTTGCATTTTCTTTGTGACAGTTGCCCCAGTAGCAGACTGCCATTGCAGCTTCACTACCAGAAGTCCTTCAAGCAGATTTTTCTATGCAGATCATCAAGAAAAAAAAATCAGCAAAACACATGAATTGAGTTCACTAAAATGGCCAGGAATTTTTGGTGGTCTACCTGATGTTAGGTAATAAGTTTGTTTGAATTTTGCCAATTTTAAGCCAATTATTTGGGTGCAATGTACCTTCAACCAGGGCAAAACAAAACAGAACAAATAGACAATGAATAGATTGGAACCTTGGAGTCGTGTCAATTCCAGGAAGAGTATATAATGAAATGATGACTTTTCTAGGAGTTTCAACTAGTAGGCGATCCTGAGGCTGAACCTTATGTATTTTTTAAGCTGGTTCTTGTTGCCATAGCTCTTTCTCTAAGGTATCCAAGAATCCCATGGAGGATCTGGGGAAGTATAGTAAATGGAGTCATCCTTTCTCTTGCTGCCAACTCAGGGATTATAGTATAAGCAACTTCCCCTTCATGTTTACAGCAATAGCTTATCCTTGATCTCAGAGCTTTGGGATAGCAACAACACCTTCCCCTCACAGAATCCACAGGGTCTGTTGTCCTGCTGGTACTTTTAAAGATAAGTATTACATAGCTAATGAAACTCTGGATAACATACTGAATTTATTTTTATTTTTTATATCTGATTATCCTTTAATGTTTAGATTTTCACTTGGAATATAAAAAATACATTTTCTTCTACTTAGGACATGTGAAAGCAGGATTACTGCTTATATAAACACTATTAATAGTCACACTTAAATATAGTAACTTTGCTCCAAGAAACTCACTAATATGGTTATGAATTATGTATTTTGTCTTAAGGAAATAGCCATTATTATTTCCTACAACTTAGGAATACATAAGGAGGAAAACAAGGGAAAGTGATTTGTCCAAAGCTCACTACAGCATAGAACTGGACCTGGGACATATTTCTCCTAACAAAATTTCTCTGGAAGCTGATAAGCATGGAATTAAAAAATCAGAGGACTTGGGAGCCTGTCCTGTGTTTTATTTCATAGGACAGAAACATATAGTCGTGAACAAAGGGTAAAATTATTAAAGATAATAAAATCTCAAAGCTTTCTTGGATAAAGTGTTACCCAAACTATTTCCTTGAATTTGATAGAAGATTTTTAAAAAACTGTTAAGAGGGCCTGCTCAATCATCCTCTTTAATTCATTTTCCATCCTCATTGTCAATGAATTCACCTAAGCTTTCATCATTCTCACTTGAACATTTGAGGTTTAAATGAATGAATATACGTGAAGTACTGAGAACAGTGTCTGGCACATCATAATTCAGACTGCTGAGGAACCACCGTGTGCCATAGGCATTACATGAAAGAAAGAGATAAATGAAGTAATATAGCTTAAGCCTTCCAATTACTTAGAATCTAGTAGGTGAGACAGAAACATAAATTTCTGCAGTGTATGGCAAACTATTACAAGTTCAATGATAAAGGCACAAACAAATGAGGATGAGAAGGGTGGAACCCCTTCATTCCTTCATTCATTCATTGACATGAATTGACTCACATTTTTCTCACCACTTTTTAAAGTAAGCTGGAGAGATGCTCCTTTTAGCATTTATGTAATGCCTAACAGTTTACAAAGTGTTTTCACATACACTTTCTATTGTAACCATCACAGCAACATCATGATGGAGATACTAGAATTATTTTTATCATCTCAAAAGGAAACTGAGGTTTGGTCAAATGTCAGAGGTGCTTGGATATCAAAGCTACAATGAGAATACTGTGTTACCGATTGATAGTGACTGGCCCAAGATCACACAGCTAGTTAGTAGGAAAAGCTCAGTTTGAGATTACAGTGTGTAAAGGTATATTCTGGACAATAACCCCACATCCCATCAATAGGGATGGGGTGATCAATGTATCTATTTCCTCCATGTTCTTTATTCCCTGGGATATGTGTTAGTTATCTATAAAAGAATCTACTATATAGAACTTTTTATAAGAAGGTGGGCTGGCTGGGCACGGTGGCTCATGACTGTAATCCCAGCACTTTGGGAGGCCAAGGCGGGTGGATCCCGAGGTCAAGAGATTGAGACCATCCTGGCCAACATGGTAACCCTGTCTCTACTAAAAATACAAAAATTAGCTGGGTGTGGTGGTGCGTGCCTGTAGTCCCAGCTACTTTGGAGGCTGAGGCAGGAGAATTGCTTGAACCTAGGAGGCAGAGGTTGCAGGGAGCCGAGATCGTGCGACTGCACTCCAGCCTGGCGACAGAGTGAGACTCCATCTAAAAAAAAAAAAAAAAGAAGGTGGGCTAATATTGACCTTGAAGTGCTTTTAAGGCCTGTCTTCATGGCATATGAACTCCTTGGGCATCTAGTATAGTCTTTACAATTAAGAAAAATCATGACAACAACTCGTATTTATAAAAGTGTTTTCAAGAAGGGATTGGAAAATACATCATTAATTTTATTCAACAATTTCACCCTTCCTCATTTAGAATTTATGTTAAGATTGTATTCTTTCAGAGTGCATTGTTTTACATTGAATACTGAAGGAATATTTCAAATCAGTCTCTTCCATGAACTCATTATTTAGAATTCTCAAAATATATTCAAGTGTGGCATTGTTAATCAGAATGAATTATCTACTACTTGTCTTGCTGTAAGTTCCACAATACATGGGGTGGTTTGATGTAGGAATAATAAGGTAGATAATTAATTAATGTTTTTTTAAAATAGTCAAATTAATTACAATTAAAGGAGCAGGATAATAGAAATAGTTATGTATATATCTGAACTTGATTTGCATTTAACATATTCCAAATTTCATTTAAACCAAGTTTGTACGTAAGTAAACTTGAAGGAAAAAATATTATTGCTCCAATTATAGAACCAGATCCCAGAATGCAATGTGAATATATAATATTTATGAAAGAAAGGTGGGAGTTGTGTTATCTATCAAAATTCAACTTTAATACGCATAGTATGAAAGCAATACACATATATTTTTACAATGGTTACCTTTTAAGAGTTGTGTGATAGACACTGATTGTTCACAGTTATTGCCTTCAATCCATGACAAGGTCTTCCCTATGAGCAGAATATACTCCTCCACCCCATTGATTTTGGGCTTGACCGTGAGACTAACAAGTCCATAACAACCTATGGAATAAGAGTGGAAGTTACAGTATAATAGCTCAAAGTAGAAGCATTAAGAGTAATTTTTTGTTTATGATCACCCTCATGTGCACATCCTCAAAATACTGCATTTTTAAAAGAGAAGAATAAGGCTTAGCATTAGAGACTAGTTTGTAATCATATAGATCATGAATCTTCAAGTCCGTAAGGGTTAAATGTAGCATTCTTCTGCTGGGCGCAGTGGCTCACACCTGTAATCCCAGCACTTTGGGAGTCCGAGGCGGGTGGATCACCTGAGGTCAGGAGTACAAGACCAGCCTGGCCAACATGGTGAAGCCCCGTCTCTACTAAAAATACAAAAAATTAGCTGGGTATGGTGGCATGTGCCTGTATTCCCAGCTACTAGGGGGGCTCAGGCAGGAGGATCACTTGAACCTGGGAGGCGGAGGTTGCAGTGAGCCAAGATAGTGCCACTGCACTCCAGCCTGGGCAACAGAGTGAGACTACATCTCAGGAAAAAAAAAAAAAAAAAGAAGAAGAAGAAGAAGAAGAAAAGAAGTAGCATTTTTCTTTTCTATAACTTTCATGACTTGTATTCATTTTAGTGACTACTTCCTCAGAATCTTTTTGCCCAAGTCACAGTGATTGGTTTTCTGCAATTATTTGTGTCTCATGAAAAGAACCAACAGGAGTGAAGAGAATCTGCAAGGTACACTAGTGCAACACAATAAGTGATCTTTTCATGTACATTTATGCATAAATAATACCATTTGGCTTTAAATGCTATGACAAATCTATAAGATAAATAAGATTAGAAACTGGGCTGAACTTTGGACCTTTGAGAGCATGGTATAGTTTCTTTGCTATCTGTCAAGGATATACCCCATTCTGCATCCATACCTTGAATTATTATTCCGTGTTCTGCTGTGATTTCAGGATTCTAGACCTAGAGCTTTGACATCTGCCTCATGATTTCTATCTTTGCTTCAGATTAACCTCACGGTATCTGAAACCTACCCAAGAAGATCCAGTGTCAGACACACATCATAAACTGCATTCTGTTTTTTTCATTCTTGTAGTATGAAAATGGGAAGAAGACAAGTCAATTTGATGGTTTTCCTTTGTAAACCAGCTTATCTTCACATATAGGCTTTTCCTCATGCTGTATCACATTCTTGTAATCACGTAAATTTCATTTTCAGGAAATTACCGTTTTTCAATAGTTTCTCCAGATATTCCTCATTACTGAGAAACACAAATATTTTTTTTTTTTGCTTGAAACTCCTCCTGAGGGAAACAAAACTGCATTGCTATCCAAAGTATTATGAGCTACCTACAGCACTTGGTTGAAACAGTTGCATGGAAACTATTTCATAAAATATTCTCTCTGGACTGGGCGTGGGGGCTCGTGTTTGTAATCCTAGCACTTTGGGAGTCTGAGGCGGGTGGATCACCTGAGGTCAGGAGTTCGAGACCAGCCTGACCAACATGGTGAAACCTCATCTCTACTAAAAATACAAAAATTAGCCGGGCGTGGTGGTGGGCGCCTGTAATCTCAGCTACTCGGGAGGCTGAGGCAGGACAATCGCTTGAACCCAGGAGGTGGTGGTTGCAGTGACCTGAGATCTCGCCACAGCACTCCAGCCTGGGCAACAAAGTGAGACTCCGTCTCAAAAAAAAAAAAAAAATTCTCTCTGGATAAGGAAGTGTGGCAAAAATAAGATGTGATTTCGTCATTTCAGTGCAATCTCTTCCCTATGCAAATATGAAATGGTCAGAGTGAAGAAGGTAGCAAATAAGAGTAAGGGACTTTACACTTTAGAGCCCTAGTCATTCCCTGCCTGCCACTGTGACAAGTGAGAAAAGGGATAATCAACAGTATGTTTGACTTCTTACCTAACAAAGAAGTTCTGCGTTTATCTTTATAAACTGTACTTGGATAAATTTTGCTTTAAAAAGGGTCTACTACAAAAAATAATATTTTAAACCACCTGGTAGTATAATGGACATGTGTTTAGAAATCAGACAGATTTAGATTTCAATCATGAATACCTATGTGACCTTGGGCCTGAGTAACTTACCTCTTTGCTATAGACTGAATATTTGCATTTTCCCAAAATTCATATGTTGAAACTTAATTCCTAGTTTGATGATATTTGCAAGTGGGACCTTTGGGAGGTAATTAGGTCAAGAGGATGAAGCTCTCATGAATGGGTTTAGTGCCCTTATAAAAAAGACCCCAGGGGGCTTGTTTGTCCATTCTACCATGTGAGCACACAGCAAGAAGATAGCCATCTATGAACCAGAAATCAGGCCTTCAGCAGACACCAAATCTACAAGTGCTTTGATGTAGAGTATCTGAGCCTCAAGAACTGTAAGAAATAAATATTTGCTGTGTGTAATGTACCCAGTCTATGATACTTCTGTTACAGCAGCCTGAACAGTCTAAGACACTCTCTAAGCTTCAGTTTCTTTATCTGTAAAATATGGATAATATCCCACAGACTTATTTTGTGTCTGAAATGAAGCCATGCGTTTATGTACCTAAGAATATGTCATATATTTAATAAATGGTAACATTTGTATTTATTATCATTGCATAGGGTAATATGATATAGAATACATGATCTTAATCGTCAAACATTTATCAAGTGATCATTATCTGAAAAGCATAAGACCTTTTCATTATCCTTGAAAATTGTGTAGCCTAGTTGGTAAGATGTAACAGGACATTAAAAAAATCAACAACCAAACCGGGTAGCATAGGCCAAAAACTAAATGACTTGTGTTTTCTGGCTAAAGAAGAAAAAGGCATGAATAACAAAATTAATATCGCTAAGCAACATGACCTCATCCTATTGGCATGAGCCTGTGTGTGACCAAATTGTAAAGACTGTCCCCAAATTGAGAGATTGAAAAAATTACTAATTTATTGGCTGCAGTGTAACATCTCCACTCAACAGGGGGAAAATGAGGGCCAAAGGCAAACAGCCATAAGTGGCTCTAAAGGACAAGCAATAAAAAGATGTGCTCTCACTGTAGATGCTCTACCATATTTCCATAAAAACATACCATTTTCCAACATGCTCAAGACAAACAAATAAACAAGACAAATATCTATTTCAATTCGTAGAAATATGCTAGATGGGCGTAGGCAATATGGAAGGGAGTAGAATGTGTAACAGTGTTCATAATGTGAGTGCTGTTAGGACAGTCCCCATGAATGTCACTGACTTGGTCTCTATTCACTGACTCTCCAGATACGGTGAAAACATTAAGAAAGCTGCATGGCAGGCTGGGCGCGGTGGCCCAAGCCTGTAATCCCAGCACTTTGAGAGGCTGTGGTGGGCGGATCACGAGCTCAGGAGATTGAGACCATCCTGGCAAAGACGGTGAAACCCCGTCTCTACTAAAAACCCAAAAAATTAGCTGGGCGTGGTGGTGGGCGCCTGTAGCCCCAGCTACTCGGGAGGCTGAGGCAGGAGAATGGCGTGAACCCGGGAGGCAGAGCTTGCAGTGAGCCGAGATCGCACCACTGCACTCCAGCCTGGGCAACAGAGCAAGACTCCGTCTCAAAAAAAAAAAAATGCTGCATGGCAGAGAGACTGTAAGAATGTATGAAAGAAATAAGGATTCAGAATAATGCAGTGAAAAACTAGTCCCTAAATAATGAAGGGAGGACTGATGAACACGCCTAAACAAAGCTTCAACCCTCATTTGCAATGTCCTTCATGGATAATGAGGGATAGTCTCTCTCTTGATATTATTTATTCACTTAGCAAGTAAGTACTGATTGCTAACTCTGTGCCCTGTATTGTGCTGTTGAGGGAATAAGACAAGGCTGCTGCTCTTCAGGAAGTTACTGTTTATTGACAGATATAAGCAAACAATTAACTAGTAATGGCATAATATATACTTTAATAGAGGCAGGTAGAGGTCACAATGGAAGTATATGTAATGAGATATTTAATCCAATTATAAGAGTCACAAAGCTGGGCTCAGTGGCTCACGCCTGTAATCCCAGCACTTTGGGAGGCTGAGGCGGGCGATCACGAGGTCAAGAGATCAAGACTATCCTGGCCAACACGGTGAAATCCCGTCTCTACTAAAAAATACAAAAATTAGCTGGGCATGGTGGTGCGTGCCTGTAGTCCCAGCTACTCGGGAGGCTAAGGCAGGAGAATCGCTTAAACCCAGGAAGCGGAGGTTGCAGTGAGCAGAGATGGTGCCACTGCATTCCAGCCTGGCGACAGAGTGAGACTCCATCTCAAAAACAAACAAAAAAAAAGTCACAAAAAGCCACATAAAAACATAATAAAAGAAGACATTTATGTGGCCAACAAACATATGAAAAAAAGCTCATGATCACTGGTCATTAGAAAAACACAAATCAAAACCACAATGAGATGACATCTCATGCCATTTAGAATGGCGATCATTAAAAAGTCAGGAAACAACAGGTGCTGGAGAGGATGTGGAGAAATAGGAACACTTTTACACTGTTGGTGGGAGTGTAAATTAGTTCAACCTTTGTGGAAGGCAGTGTAGCGATTCCTCAATGATCTAGAACCAGAAATACCATTTGACCCAGCAATCCCATTACTGGGTATATAACCAAAGGATTATAAATCATTCTACTATAAAGACATGCACACGTATGTTTACTGGAGCACTATTCACAATAGCAAAGACGTGGAACCAACCCAAATGCCCATCAGTGACAGACTGGATAAAGAAAATGTGGCACATATACACCATGGAATACTATGCAGCCATAAGAAAGAATCAGTTCATGTCCTTTGCAGGGACATGGATGAAACTGGAAACCATCATTCTCAGCAAACTAACACAGGAACAGAAAACCAAATACTACATGTTCTCACTCATAAGTGAGAGCTAAACAATGAGAACATATGGGCACAGGGAGGGGAACATTACACACTGGGGCCTGTCAAGGGGTTGGGGGCGAGGGGAGGGGTAGCATTAGGAGAAATACCTAACTTAGATGACAGGTTGATGGATACAGCAAACCACCATGGCACATGTATACGTATGTAAGAAACCTGCATGTTCTGCACATGTATCCCAGAACTTAAAGTATATAAAAAATGAATATAGGCTGGGCATGGTGGCACATGCTTGTAAATCCAGCACTTTGGGAGGCCGAGGGGGGCAGATCACGAGGTCAGGAGATCGAGACCATCCTGGCTAACACAGTGAAACCCCGTCTCTACTAAAAAAACCACAAAAAATTAGTTGGGCGTGGTGGCAGGCGCCTGTAGTCCCAGCTACTTGGGAGGCTGAGGCAGGAGAATGGTGTGAACCTGGGAGGCGGAGCTTGCAGTGAGCCAAGATCGCACCACTGCACTCCAGCCTGGGCGACAGAGCAAGACTCCGTCTCAAAATATATACAAATGTTCATGAAAACAGAAAACAAAGAATAGCGTATCCTTCTAAGCACATCACAAGCAAGCGCAGTAGGCTTAGGTCTCAGGGGTATAGCTTTCTCAGTCCTCTTATTATTCCTCCAGCAACAGTTTTTGTTCCAGCACTCGTTCCTGCCCTGTCCCCAGAATAGATTTTATCTATTCCTTGCCCCCAGTCAAAATGGATTTTAACCAGTGCACTAAGTATGGGTACCCCTCTCCAACACACAGAGATTGATGATTTTGTTCTATAGGGATAATAGGGGGAAGGGTCTGTGTGGAATTTTATGACCTCTTAAAGTGGCTGCTGTTCTCCTTCCTCTGGTCTGCAACATAAGGGGAACTTTTGAAGGACACTCTTCAGTCTTTTCCATGAGCACCTCGTGAGGTGCATAGAAAGAAAACCATCCAGACTCTTCTAGTTTTTGTGGACTTCGTGGATTCACAGTTTTCCGGTGTCCGTCCAGTTTCTGCCAAATCACTGATCATCAAGGATGGATTCTGTTTACTGTCTCCTGTTTGTGTCTTCTTTAAGGAAGCCAGTGCTCATGTTGCTCTTTGAGTGTGGAGACAGTTGTTTGCCCTGAAACCTCAAACGCCCCACAAGTTCATGAAAAATTATGAATTTGAAGATTTGTTTCATCTCCTTCATTGTAAAGTGGGAGTTGACACTCATTCTAGTTCTGCAATTCCTTAAGCAGAAATTATTACTATATTTTATTTAGATAACAAAAATATTTTGCTTTAAATGTATTAAAGATTATACTTTTATTTATGGCATTTTTAAATTTATCACAGTTTTCAACAGCTTACTGTTATAGTGTTTCTCTAAGTAGCATATAGCTCAACATTTTACTTGTCTATTTGAAAGCACATTACTCATATCTAGAGGTGAAACATAATTTTGTTAATACCTGAAATCCTTTAGCTTCAGAATATACTGAATATTACATATTTGTCTTAAGCCGTGCCCTAATTCTCATGTAAATGTAATGCAAAATATGTCTTTGGAATTTACATATATAGACATTTTCTATTATTAAAATAGCAATTGAAGTGCACTGACACACAGATAAAAGTTAAATAATTGCTTCTAGATTTGACTTTATAAGTCTATGTTTTGATTGTTCTGCTTCATAAATATATACTTTAAAAAATATATTTTCCAGTTGTCAGATCTCTTTAAAAGTCATTGATAAACCACAGTGCTAGGTTGTATTTCCTCTTTTATCTTTAATGAGGTATGATTGACAAAATTGTATATATTTAAGGCATATAACTTGATGTAATGTACATACACATTGTGAAATGATGATCACAATGAAGCTAATTAACATATCAATCTTCTCACATGGTAACATTTTCCTTTGTGTGTGTGTGTGTGTGTGTGTGTGTGTGTGTGTGTGGTGAGAACATTTAAGATCTACTTTCTTAGCAAATTTCAACTACACAAGAAAGTATTGTTAACTATTGTCACCATGCTCTCCGGAAGTTATTCATCTTGCAAAACTGAAACTTTGTACTCTTTGACCAATAGCTCCCAATTTCAAATATTCCTATATGTGGACTATAGTCTATTAATATGCCATAAATAAATGCACTTGTTATTTACTATAGCTATTATTTATTGCTGGAAATGTTATTCTACTATTTCTCAAGGGAATATACTGCAATTACATGGTCACTAAATTTGTGATTATTTCTGAAACAATTTGTATTCACAATTTGGCTTTATTAATTATATGTTTTTTGATTTCTTATTCAGTTAAAACTGTCTTTATCACCTATGGAGCAAAATTGTCTTCATGACATACAAGACAGATCATAAAAGCCTTATAAAGCCAATATTATCCCATGTTGAGTGTAAGGATCAGAAAAATACTTTTTAAAATAATATTACAAGCTGGCTAATGCTTAATGGCACTAAAGTACATGATTCTACTTTTACTTATCTAGACTAGTGGTGGACAAAAATTAGACTGATTTTATGACTATTAGCAGATTCATATTTTACAGCTTTAATAAGGTACATAATGTACACACCAGAAACTTCACCCATTGAAAGTGTACAATTCAATGACTTATAGTCTATTTATAGAGCTATGCAAGCATCACCAAAATCTAGACTGAAAACATTTCCATCATTCCCTAAAATTCCCTCCAACTCATTTGCAGTCAATCTTTGTCCCCATCCCAAGCCCAGGAAAACACTTACGGTTTCTGCCTCTATAGAGGTGTCTTTTCCGGCAATTCATTAAAATGGGATCATACAATATGTGGTGTCTGGGTTTGGCTTCTTTTAGTTAACATAACGTGTTTAAAGGTTCAGCCAGGCTTTAGAATGTACCAGTACTTTATACCTTTGAATTGAAGAATAGAATTCCATTGTATAAAATTATTGTTTATTCTTATCTATTCACCATTTGGTGGACATTTAGGTTGTTTCCACTTTTTGGCTATTATTAATAATACTGTCATAAACTTTCACTCACAAGTAATCATGTGGACATCAACTGTTTTACGAGGTATTGTAGCAAGTCGATGTTTTATTTTGTAAGACTATTAACTGTTTTACAAAGTAGCTGTAAAATATAGTTTTTAACAACAGTATATGAAGGTTCCAATTTCTCTAAAACTTCAAAAACAGTTATTGTGGTATTTTGTATTTTAGCTACTCTGGTGGATATAAAAGTGACACCTTATTATGGTTTTAAATTGCATTTCCTCAATAACTTAAGCATGTTTCTTAAGCATATTTTATGTATCTTCTTTGGTGAAATGCCTGTTCAAATCTTTTGCCCATTTATTATTGGGTTTTTGTCTTATTATTGAGTTGTAAGAATTCTTTACAGATTTTTTAGGATATACACTATTTGCAAGTATTTTCTTCTATACCTGTAGTTTGTATTTTTATTTTCTTAATAATATGTTTTGAAGTGGAAAGTTTTAAATTTTGATGAAATACAACTTGTTGTCATTTATAGGTACAGTTGTTCCAGCACCATTTGTTGAAAATACAATCTTTTCTCTCATTAAATTGCCTTCCTTTTTATTAAAAATCAATTGAACATAAATTTAAGTGTTTATTTTTGCACTCTCAATTCTATGGTAAGCAAAGAGTCCCGTTTCAATTTGCTGCATATGGCGAGCCAGTTATCCCAGCACATAGGCAGGGGCAAAGACTTCATGATGAAGATGCTAAAAGCAATTGGAACAAAAGCAAAAATTGACAAATGGGACCTAATTAAACTGAAGAGCTTCTGCACAGCAAAAGAAACTGAGTAAACAGACAAGCTACAGAATGAGAGAAAAATTGTGTAAACTATCCATCTGATAAAGGTCTAATATCCAGAGTCTAGAAGAAATTTAAACAAATTAAAAAGGAGGAAACAACCCCATTAAAATGTGGGCAAAGGACATGAACAGACACTTTTCAAAAGAAGACATACATGAGGTGAACATGCATTTTTTATTATTATTATACTTTAAGTTTTAGGGTACATGTGCACAATGTGCCGGTTAGTTACATATGTATACATGTGCCATGCTGGTGCACTGCACCCACTAACTCTTCATCTAGCATTAGGTATATCTCCTAATGCTATCCCTCCCCCCTCCCCCCACCCCATATTTTTTTTAAAAAGCTCAACATTATTGATCATTACAGAAATACAAATCACAACCACAATGAGATATCATCTCATACAAGTCAGAATGTCTATTAATTGCTTCAAAGAGAATAAAATACCTAGGAATCCAACTTACAAGGGATGTGAAGGACCTCTTCAAGGAGAACTACAAACCACTGCTCAATGAAATAAAAGAGGATACAAAGAAATGGAAGAACATTCCATGCTCATGGGTAGGAAGAATCAATATCATGAAAATGGCCATACTTCCCAAGCTAATTTATAGATTCAATGCCATCCCCATCAAGCTACCAATGACTTTCTTCACAGAATTGGAAAAAACTACTTTAAAGTTCATATGGAACCAAAAAAGAGCCTGCATTGCCAAGTCAATCCTAAGCCAAAAGAACAAAGCTGGAGGCATCACGCTACCTGACTTCAAACTATACTACAAGGCTACAGTAACCAAAACAGAATGGTACTGGTACCACAACAGAGATATAGACCAATGGAACAGAACAGAGCCCTCAGAAATAATGCCACATATCTACAACTATCTGATCTTTGACAAACCTGAGAAAAACAAGCAATGGGGAAAGGATTCCCTATTTAATAAATAGTGCTGGGAAAACTGGCTAGCCATATGCAGAAGGCTGAAACTGGATCCCTTCCTTACCCCTTATACAAAAATTAATTTAAGATGGATTAAAGACTTAAACGTTAGACCTAAAACCAAAAAAACCCTAGAAGAAAACCTAGGCATTACCATTCAGGACATAGGCATGGGCAAGGACTTCATGTCTAAAACACCAAAAGCAATGGCAACAAAAGTCAAAATTGAAAAATGGGATCTAATTAAGCTAAAGAGCTTCTGCACAGCAAAAGAAACTACCATCAGAGTGAACAGGCAACCTACAAAATGGGAGAAAATTTTTGCAACCTACTCATCTGACAAAGGGCTAATATCCAGAATCTACAATGAACTCAAACAAATTTACAAGAAAAAAACAAACAACCCCATCAAAAAGTGGGCAAAGGATATAAACAGACACTTCTCAAAAGAAGACATTTATGCAGCCAAAAGACACATGAAAAAATGCTCATCATCCCTGGCCATCAGAGAAATGCAAATCAAAACCACAATGAGATACCATCTCACACCAGTTAGAATGGCAATCATTAAAAAGTCAGGAAACAACAGGTGCTGGAGAGGATGTGGAGAAATAGGAACACTTTTACACTGTTGGTGGGACTGTAAACTAGTTCAACCCTTGTGGAAGTCAGTGTGGCGATTCCTCAGGGATCTAGAACTAGAAATACCATTTAACCCAGCCATCCCATTACTGGGTATATACCCAAAGGACTATAAATCATGCTGCTATAAAGACACATGCACACGTATGTTTATTGCAGCACTATTCACAATAGCAAAGACTTGGAACCAAGCCAAATGTCCAACAATGATGGACTGGATTAAGAAAATGTGGCACATATACACCATGGAATACTATGCAGCCATAAAAAATGATGAGTTCATGTCCTTTGTAGGGACATGGATGAAATTGGAAATCATCATTCTCAGTAAACTATCGCAAGGACAAAAAACCAAACACCACATGTTCTCACTCATAGGTGGGAATGGAACAATGAGAACACATGGACACAGGAAGGGGAACATCACACTCTGGGGACTGTTGTTGTGGGATGGGGAGAGGGATAGATAGCATTAGGAGATATACCTAATGCTAAATGACAAGTTAATGAGTGCAGCACACCAGCATGGCACATGTATACATATGTAACTAACCTGCACATTGTGCACATGTACCCTAAAACTTAAAGTATAATAATAAAAAATAAATAAATAACAAAAAAATAAATAAAAAGTCAAAAAATAACAGATGCTGGCGAAGTTGTGGAGAAAAAGGGGCACTTAGATACTATTGGTGAGAATGTAAATTAGTTCAACCATTGTGGAAAACAGTGCGGTGATTCCTCAGAGATCTAGTGGCAGAAATACCATTTGATCCAAGAATCCCATTACTGGGTGTATACCCAAAGGAAATAAATCATTCTATTATAAAAATACATGCACGTGTATGTTCATTGCAGCACTATTCACAATAGCAAAGACATGGACTCAACCCAAATACCCATCAGTGACAGACTGGATAAATAAAATGTGGTACATACACTCTATGGAATACTATGCAGCCATAGAAAGGAACGAGATCATGTCCTTTGCAGGGACATGGATGGAGCTGGAAGCCATTATTCTCAGAAAACTAATGCAGGAACAGAAAACCAATCACCACATGTTCTCACTTATAAGTGGGAGCTAAATGATGAGAACACACGAATGCACAGAGGAGAACAACACACACTGGGACCTATCAGAGGGTGGAGGGTGGGAGGAGGGAGAGGATCAGGAAAAATAACTAACAGATACTAGGCTTAATACTTGGGTGATAGCATATTCCATACAACAACCCCCCATGACACACATTTACCTATGTAACAAACCTGCACATCCTGCACATGGACCCCTGAACTTAAATAAAAGTTAAAAAAATAAAGATTACACATGGGATTTTGATAGTGATTGTAACTACTTTAGAGAACAACATTGGGGACAATTGCAATCTTAACAATGCTGAGTCTTCTAATCTACGAACATGAAATGCTTCTCTTTTTATTTAAGTCTTAAAATTTATCGCAGCATGTATGGTGGTTTTCAGTATACAGCTCTTGCACTTCTTTTGCTAAATTTATTCCTAAGTATTTTATTTTTTGGATGCTACTGTAAATGAAACTCTGTTTCTAATTTTATTTTTTAGTTGTTCAATGCTAATATATATATATACACATATTATATGTGTGCATATGTTTATATTTCTATGAACAATTTATTTTCTTTATTTATCATTTCTCTTTTGACATA
Source organism: Homo sapiens (assembly GCF_000001405.40). Lineage (NCBI taxonomy): Eukaryota > Metazoa > Chordata > Mammalia > Primates > Hominidae > Homo > Homo sapiens. Next base: position 145,356,326 of record NC_000023.11, on the reverse strand, counting down.
GCTAAACCAGCTTATTAATTCTTGAAGTTTTGTGGGTGTGATTTTAGGATTTCTGCATATAGTATTTTGTCATCTATAAATAAAAGAAGTTTAATTTATTCTTTTAAAACTTCATGCATTTATTTTTTTCTTATTACACTGTCTGGAACCTACAGCACAATGTTAAATAGAGATGGTGTGGGCCGGGTGCGGTGGCTCACGCCTGTAATCCCAGCACTTTGGGAGGCCGAGGCGGGCGGATCACGAGGTCAGGAGGTCGAGACCATCCTGGGTAACACGGTGAAACCCCGTCTCTACTAAAAATACAAAAAAATAGCAGGGCATGGTGGCAGGCGCCTGTAGTCTCAGCTACTTGGGAGGCTGAGGCAGGAGAATGGCATGAACCCCAGAGGCGGAGGTTGCAGTGAGCCGAGACCGCACCACTGCACTCCAGCCTGGGCGACAGAGTGAGACTCCCTCTCAAAAAAAAAAAAAAAAAAATAGAGTTGGTGTGAGAGTGAGCATAATTTCCTTTTTCCTTATCCTAGGAATAAAATACTTGTTCTTTTACTATTGACTCTAATGATAGCTGTAAGGTTTTCTTAGAAGACATTTTTTAAGTGAGGAGAAATCTTTTTTGTTCCTAATGTCTCTGGATCTTTTGATCAGGCATTGTGATGAACATTGTCAAATGGTTTTTATGCATCTATTAAAAATAATCATGTTGTTTTCATCCTTCTAACTTTGTAAAAACGCCCAAGCTATCTTCCAATGTAGCTGTACTATTTCATACCCAGCAGCAGTTAATGAGAGTTCCTATTGTTCCACATCATCAGCAGCAATTAGTGTTGTCAGGTTGTTTTGTTTTGGGTTTGTATTTTAGTTATTCTTATGAATATGTGATGTTATATCATTGTTGATTTAGTTTGCAATTCACTAATAACAAATGATGTGCTTGTTTTCATATGCTTATTTGCCATCTCTTTAACTTTGGTGAGGTGTGGGTTCCGATCTTTTGTCCATTTTTAAAATTGGATTAATTTGTTTTCATGTTGTTGCATTTTAAGAGTTCTTTGTATATTTTGGATGACAGTCCATGATTAAGTGTGTATACTACAAATATTTTCTCTCAGACGGTAGCTTGTATTTTCATTTTATTTTTCTTCAACTTTTATTTTTAGTTCTGGGGTACATGTGCAGGATGTGCAGGTTTGTTACATACGTAAAGGTGTGCCATGGTGGTTTGCTTCACAGATCAACCCATCACCCAGAAACTAAGCCCACATTCATTAGCTATTATTCCTGGTGCTTTCCCTCCCTCAACCCATTCTGACAGGCCCCAATGTGTGTTGTTCCTCCCCATGTGTCCATGTGTTCTTGTCATTCAGGTCCCACTTATAAGTGACAAAGTGCAGTGTTTGGTTTTCTGTTCCTGCCTTAGTTTGCTGAGGATAATGGCTTCCAGCTCCATCCATGTCCCTGCAAAGGTCATTATCTCATTCCCTTTTATGGCTGCACAGTATTCCATGGAGTATATGTACCACATTTTCTTTCTTTCTTTCTTTTTTTTTTTTTTTTGAGGCAGAGTTTCGCTCTTGTTGCCAAGGCTGGAGTGCAGTGGCACAATCTCGGCTTACTGCAACCTCCACCTCCCGGGTTCAAGTGATTCCCCTGCCTCAGCCTCCCAAGTAGCTGGGATTACAGGCATCCCCCACCATGCCCCGCTAATTTTTTGTATTTTTAGTAAAGACAGAATTTTGGCATGTTGGCCAGGCTGGTCTTGAGCTCCTGACCTCAGGTGATCCACCTGCCTCGGCCTACCAAATTGCTGGGATTACGGGCATGAGCCACCGTGCCCGGACCTATGTACCATATTTTCTTTATCCAGTCTATCACTGATGGGCATTTGGGTTGATTCTATGTCTTTTCTATTGTGAATAGTGCTGCAATGAACATACACGTGCATGTATTTTTATAATGGGATGATTTATATTCTTTTGGGGATGTATCCAGTAATGGGATTGCTGGGTCAAATGATATTTCTGCCTCTAAGTCTTTGAGGAATCACCACAATGTCTTCCACATGGTTGAACTAATTTACACTCCCACCAACAATGTAAAAGCATATTCTTTTTTCTCTGCAAGTTCACCAGCTTATGTTGTTTCTTGAATTTTTTTTTTTTTTTTTTTTGAGACGGAGTCTCGCTCTGTCGCCCAGGCCGGACTGCGGACTGCAGTGGCGCAATCTCGGCTCACTGCAAGCTCTGCTTCCCGGGTTCACGCCATTCTCCTGCCTCAGCCTCCCGAGTAGCTGGGACTACAGGCGCCTGCCACCGCGCCCGGCTAATTTTTTGTATTTTTAGTAGAGACGGGGTTTCACCTTGTTAGCCAGGATGGTCTCGATCTCCTGACCTCGTGATCCACCCGCCTCGGCCTCCCAAAGTGCTGGGATTACAGGCGTGAGCCACCGCGCCCGGCCGTTTCTTGAATTTTTATAAATGCCATTCTGACTGGCGTGAGATGGTATCTTATTGTGATTATGATTTGCATTTCCCTGATGATCAGTGACGTTGAGATTTTTTTCATGTTTGTGGGCTGCATGAATGTCTTCTCTTCAGAAGTGTCTGCTCATGTCTTTCGTTCATTTTTTAATGGTTTTTTTTTTTATTGTAAGTTCAAGTTCCTTGTAGACTCTGGATATTAGACCATTGTCAGATGGATAGATTGCAAAATTTTTCTCCCATTCCATAGGTTGTTTGTTTGCTCTGTTGATAGTTTATTTGCTGTGCAGAGCTCTTTAGTTTAATTAGACCCCACTTGTCAATTTTTGCTTTTGTCGCAATTACTTTTGGTATGTTTGTCATGAAATCTTTGCCAGTGCCCATGTCCTGAAAGGTGTTGCCTAGATTCTCTTCTAGGGTTTTCATAGTTTTGAGTTTTACATTTAAGTCTTTAATCCATCTTGACTTAATTTTTGTATAAGGTGTAAGGAAGGGGTCCAGTTTCAATCTTCTGCATATGGCTAGCCATTTCTCCCAGCACCATTTATTGAATAGGGAATCCATTTCCCATTACTTGCTTTTTGTCAGGTTTGTTGAAGATCAGATGATTGTAGGTGTACAGTCTTATTTCTGAGTTCTGTATTCTGTTCCATTGGTTTATTTGTCTGTTTTGGTACCAGTTTTTTTTTTTTTCCTTAGGATTGTCTTGGCTATTCAGGCTCTGTTTTTGGTTCCATGTTAATTTTAAAATAGTTTCTTCTAATGCTGTGAAGAATGTCAATGGTAATTTAATGAGAGTAGTATCGAATCTATAATTTACTTTACACAGCATGACCATTTTCCTGATATTGACTCTTCCTATCCATGAGCATGGAATGTTTTTCCATTTGTTGGTGTCCTCTTGTATTTTCATTTTCTTAACAGTATCTTTCACAGAGCAGACATTTGTTATTTTAGTAATGTTCAACTTACAATTTTTTTTCCTTTGTGGATCATGATTTTGGTCTTTTTTTCTACTAATTCATCACCAAATCCCAGCTCAATCAGATTTTTCCCAATGTTTTCTTCTAGAAATTTTACAGTTTTGCATTTTACAATGTTTTCTTCTAGAAATTTTACATTTTACATTATGATCTATCATACATAGTGAGTTAGTATTTGTGAAACATCTAGGTTATTTGTCTAGATTCATTTATCTACATGTAAAAGTCCAATTTTTCTAGGGTCATTTGTTGAACAGATTATCCTTTTCTCATTGCATTGCTTTTGGCCTTTGTGAAAAATCGGTTTACTACATTTGTGTGGGTCTCTTTCTAGGCTCTCTATCGTGTCCTATTTATCTATGAGTGTACAGCAGATCCTTGAGTAACATCATTTTATTTAATGCCATTTTTTTATAACGTTGATGAGAAAAAAAAATTTGATTCCCAGCAGGGTCCACTGTCTGTGCGGTGTTTGCATGTTCTCCCCATGTCTCTGTGTGTGTGCGTGTTTTTTTTTTCCAGGTATTCTGATTTTTTCCCACATCTCAACGAATGTCTACATTCTCCCAGTCCATATGAATGTGGGCTGTAGGTTATAGGTTTGAATGTGCATTGTGATGAAATGGCATCCTGTCCTGGGTTGGTTTCCATGTTGTGCCTTGAGCTACTGAGATAGGCTTTGGCCACCTGTAACCCTGAACTAAAATAATCAGGTTGGAAAATGAATGAATAAACACATATTATTGTCAAATAAAAATTTAGGAAGTATACAACAATCGTATTGATGCATGACAATAAATGATACAAAAGTGCTCAGTGAGCCTGTCCAATTTGTTCTTGTTTTTGGACTGCATGGTGTTAGGAGGTGCTCCCTATAATTTTTGGTTTTGAAACATTTATTATTTGATTTAATACACCACCACTGCAACTGCCATCACTCATGGATTAATCAAAATTTGAGTAAATAATTATCTTACTTGTCTTTATTACTCTTTCTTAAACGTATGTATAACTCACATTTACTTTAATGTTTAATGTTAGAATTGCTTGGGTGTCTATTTAGAAGCTTGGTAATGTTTTCATGACCAGAAATACATCATACAACTCTTATTTATATCAACTAGCCTATGGGAAAATTGTGGGGTTTTTTTGTATACATTATTTTCCTTAAAGTCACAGTTTCCATAAACTATGGACAATCTTAAGTGGGGACTTACTGTATTATTTTGCCAATACCAAAGTCTCTGAATTTTTGTAGTTTTATAGTGAGTTTCATATTGGGTAATGTGAATTCCCTAACTTTTTCCCTCTTTCTTAGCATTGCATTGGCTATTCTGGGTCTGTTGCATTTCCATATAAGCTTTAGAAACAATTGTCAATAAACGTTGTATGAATACAATCTTTTATACTTTTCTGGATACTGTTTGTGTGTGTGTGTGTGTGTGTGTGTATACACACACATACACAAACAATCTGTATGATATATACTTGTTTTTCCTTGCCTCTTTCCAGAGGCTTGGATTTCCAGTACAATTTTGAATAGACGTGAGAAAAAAAAAAACTTATTTGCCTTGGTCCTGTTCTTAGGGCGAAGTCATTTAGGTTTTTTCCCCATTAAGTATGATGTTAACTATAGAGTTGTTTTACAAGTGTTTCTTCCCGATAACAATTTATTGTCTCTCAATTCCAAATTTATCCCTCCTAGATGGCCCTATGATAATGGAGTAGAATATTATAAAAATTTCTCTTTTGCAACTGGCAGATGTTACATTGTCAGTATAGTGCACAGATATGGTGGGTTTAACCTCTACCAACTAGCTATATTTAAATATTTGTTCCACTTGTCCTTGTAACTTTTTCCTTGTTTTCTGTCTACTTTTTAATAAAATATTTATTGTAATTCCATTTTATGTTTATTTATTCTATTTTTCAAGTAATGTTTGCCCTGGTGTTTAAAATGTATATTTCTTATTAATCATACACTATGTGCACATATTATTGTACGACTTTATGTTTACTCCAAAGTAAAAGAGTATACTACCAATTCTCCCCTTCCACTTTGTGCTATTCTTTTTGTTCATTTTATTTTTACATATAATATAAACATACAACACACTGCTTCTGTTTTTGCTTTAGACAGCCAATTGTGTTTTTAAACAATTAGAAATGATAAGAAAATTATTATGCTCTTTACAGTCATTTATACCGTTTCTAGTACCCTTCATTTAGGGTAGATGGAATTTCATGCCTGATGAATTTCCTTTTAACACTTCTTATAGTGCAGTTTGGCTGGCAGTTAATTCTCTGAAATTTTATTCCTAAAAATATCTTTATTTTATCCTCATTTCTACTTTTTAAAATTTACATACAGTAAAATTCATTATTGGTTTACAGTTTTAGCTGTCTTGACAAATGCATAGAGTCCTGTATACATGACCACAATCAAGATAGAGGACAGTTCCATGACTGCAAAACATTCCCTGTTGTGGCCCTTTTACAGTAAAACCCTAGGAATCACTAATCTGCTCTCAGTTCCTATAGATATGTCCTTGTCGGACCACCAGATAAGTGGAATCATACCAGTGATTTCACTGCCAGTAATATTCCATTACGTGAATGTTTCACAGTTTGTTAATCCATTACCGCTTGAAGGACATTAGGTTGTTTAGAGTTATTAGTGATTAGCAATAAAGGTCCTGTGAATGATCACATGCAGGTTTTTGTGTGAATGAGTTTTCATTAAGTAGAATTGCTGGGTCATATGGCAAGTCTATATTTAACTTTATAAGAAACTGCTAAATTGTTTCCCAAAGTGGCTATACGAGTTTGCATTTCTCATCATCAAGGCATAAATATTACAGTTGCTCGATATCAATGCCTTTACAAGCACTTGATATTTTTCCATGTGTGTTTTTTAGTTATTCTAATGAATATGAAGTGATACTTAATTGTGGCTTTAGTTTGCACTTCCGTAATGACTAATAATGTTGGATAAAATTTTATGTGCTTATTAGCCATCTGTACATCTTCTCTAGTGACGGGGCATTTATATCCCACTGTATTATTTGGTTATTTTCCTATCTTTGAGATTTAAGTGATTTAAGAGGTGTTTTTATATTATGGATATATTTTGGTGTTTTATATTTTGACAAATACATGATTTACAAATATTTTCTCCAAGTCTGTAGTTCATCATTTTATCCCCTTAAAAGTTATTTTTCAGAGAGGAAACATTTTATGTTTGAGAATGTCTAATTTATAATTTCTGTTTTTGTGGCTTATGATTTGATTGTCATGTCTACTAATTATTTGCCTAAACTAAGGTCACAAAGATTTTCTCCTAGGTTTTATACTAGAAGTTTGATAGTTTTTAATTTTGTAATGAGGTCTATGTTCTGTTTAGAGTTAATTTTTTGTAGAGTGTGTAGTATAGTTCATTTTTAAAATTTATGGATGACCGAATCTTCCAGCATTGTTTGTTGTAAAGACTATCCTGCCTTAATTGAATTGCCTTTTCACCCTGTCACAAATTAGTTGGCTATATTTGTTTAGGTATATTTCTGGACTATCTAGTCTATTTTATAGTTCTATATGCCTATGAATTTGCAAATGTCAGACTACCTTGATTATTATAATTTTATTGAAAGATTTATTGAAATATTTCCTCCAAATTGATTAGAATTTCTATAATCACTTTGTCATCTATTCTTAAAAATCACGCTGGCAATTCAATTGGGCTCATATTTAATCTATACATTAATTTGGGGAGACTTGTCCTCTTAACAATATTGAATTTTCCAATCTATGAACGATGGACATAGTCCTAGTTAGCCTTAATCTTACATGTGCCTTGTGCCCCCTGACTCTCAAGGGTGGGATTGCTCAGTGATTTTACCCCTCCCATAGTGGTTAGAGATTTCTAATGGGATCAACCCTTGCCTCTCCCCTAAGATAAATGGTGTTGTTATGATCCCTTCCTGTAGCCACAACAGGGCTACTTATGACTTGAAAACATCAGGGTTTGCTGTCCTTTTCCCAGAAGCTTAAGGCTTCTGTTCTCTAGCAGGGGATTAAGAAGGTTCCAGATGTTCCTTTGTCCCTTTTCCTCGGCAGATGTTTCTCTCCTCCCCTAGGTCTGTACCATACAGAAGACTTTTTCAAATCTCCTTCCCTGGCTCTAATCTTTCTTTTCAGCTCCCATTGTGCAAAAGAGCCTGTGAATGAACGAGGACAATTCCCTCTTGGTTCTGTGTCTCCCAAGTGTTGTACATCGTACTTGCCCTTTTTCGTCTCTACCAAATGATTACCAAGTTCAGCAGAATTCTTCATAGCAACTTTATGGTGCCATATGTCTATTATTCCCAGGTTCTGCCCCAGATAAGCAAGTGCATGTGTTCTATTTCCCCTTGAATGCTGTTTTCCTATAGTTTTAACGTTAGTTGGGTGCTCTGAGATCTCAGCTATCAAGATGGGTAAAAAGAAATTATAATTTTGTACATTAACCAGCTTTTTCCTTTCATTCATTTGGGGGGTGGCCCTTTGTCCAGCTTTCTGCCTCCTAAGCAGTAGGTGATGTATTCAATTGTATTTTAAAGAAATTTTTAAAATTAAATATCTCACTGATGATTTTTATATTAATTACATGCTGAAATGGCAATATTATGGATATATTGGGTTAAATAAATTATATTATTAAAATGGAAAAAAAAGAATGGGACAAAAAGACATTTACCCGTATATTTCCAATTTCTGAATCTTTTCACTTTTGATTGAAATTTTCCATCTAATGTAATATTCTTTGGCTTAAAGAGCTCCCTTCAACTTTTTATCTCTTGCAAGTCTGTTGGGCCTAGATTTTCTCTGCTTTATTTTCCTGAATATACATTAATTTCATCTTCACTTGTAAGGATATTTTTGGTAGAGATATAATTAAAACATTTAAATATTTTATTCCATAGTCTTCTGGTTTGCATTGTTTCTGATGAACACTCAGCTATAGTTATTAAGGTTGTTTTTCTCTATATAATGCATCTTTTTTCTTTGGTTGCTTTAATTATTTTGATTTCTATTATTGATTTTCAGCAATTTGATTGTTATGTGTCCTGGTGTAGTTTTATTTTTAATTTATCCTGCTTGGGTTAGATTTCTTGATCTTCCCGGATATGGGTTCATATTTTTGTCATCAACATTGAAACATTTATAACTTTATTTCTTGAAATGTTTTTCTCTGCCACTATACCTCATTTCTCTCCCACTGGCATATCAATAACACATATATAGACTACCTGATACTTTCACACTATTCACTGAGTCTCTTTTGGCTTTACAGCTTTAATGTTTGTGCCTCAGTTTGAATAACTTTTACTGCCTTGTATTCATAATTAGATTTTTCTTCTGCATTTCTAATCTTATGAAAGTCATTAATGAATTTTTAATTTTTGGTATTCTGTTTTCATTTCTGAAATTTCTGTTTAATTAGTTTTTTTATATTTTCTTTGTATGAATTGAGATTCCCTCATTGTCTTAGTGGTTTATCTTTAAAACTTTGACTATGTTTGTAATAGTTGTTTTAATATCTTGTGTACAAATTTCATAATTTGTCATTTTTTCATTCTGTTTGTATTATCTTTGTGCTGGCTATGGGACACATTTGTCCTGCTTTAACATATATCTAAAAATTTTGGTCATGTACTGGGCATTATGAAATCTATATTGTTGATTGGATTTTCTTGTCTCCTGTAGCATAGTATACTATTTGTTTATCTGTTGTTCTGGCAGACAGTTAATTTACACGCGGCTCTGTTTTGTTTGTCTTTGGCTATAGGCTTTATTAGGGTGGGTTTTAAGTACCCTTTGCTCTAATGCTTCATTAGTTCTGCTCCTCAGAGTCTAGTCTTTCTGGAGTATATACTGTATATCCAGGGTGTTTAATAAGATTTACCACTTAAATTTAACAGGTTTAAATTATGTGAGCATTTGTAGATACTCAGTTCACAACTTCCAAGTAAATGATTTTCCTGGATGTACCCCAGGAGTGTTTTGCTCAACCATGTGGAATCTCACCCACACGCATGTGCAACAGAGATAGTACTCAGCCAAACAATTGAGAAGACCCCTAAAGCATATTTCTGGATCTCCTTTCCTGCACAGCTCCCTTTGCTCTAGTACCTTGTATCATGATATCAACCAGCTTAGTAGAATTGGATTTAACCTCTGCATCTCCAGTTCACTTCATTCTCCATATGGTGTTCTAGATTCCCCTCCCTTTGTTACAGTCCAAAAAAATTTACTCAGGCTGAATGTCTGGGAGGATATTTGGGTCACCTAATTTTTCTCTTATCAGGGATCACAATCATATGCTGCTTATTGTGCAACAGTTGATAACAGTTGTCTTCTATAGCTCGTGCAGTGTTATAGCCATTTATGATAGAAAAACTAGGTCATTGCCAGTTACTTCATTATGGAGTGAAAATACTAGCTCTAAATTTAAGTTTCCGTAAACAATAAAGTTTATTTTTTTCAACCACTAATGGGAATTTCACATGTCTATTTCCAGTATTTTAAAGGCATTTATTTTCTATGTAGATGATATCATCATTTTAAACATATAATTATTTCCTGATTTTTAATTTCTTTAGGATTTTAACAAGTTTGTATGTGTAAATATTTTAGACAAGCAAGAAGGAAATTCAGGAAAGTCAACTATTAGCTGGTAGAATAGAGGAGGTTTCTTGGTAAGACAACCAATCAATAATTTATCAGTATTGGTATTGTCATGCAGCTGAATCTGTGCACTGTAGACACTCAAGGCAAAATTTAATTCACATTTAATTATGGGGCATCTTTAAACAGAAAATATTACTGTTTTGTATTCAATAACTACATATAGTACTTTAGAAAAAAGATCAATCAGAAAATCATACAATGTACTGATGATATTGCTGTAACTGCTCGTTGGAGCAAACTTTCATCAATACTCTCTGGAACTGCTGTGTCAAACTAGGGATGAGATTATAAAAAGAATATAATTCTTAGTATCTATATACATAGATGAGCAAATTATGCATCTTTTTGTATCAGTATAATTAAAAATAGACTCAACTGCAGAAAAATATTGATGTTTATTTTGTATATGAAAAACTAGAAATATGTCCTCCATTTTAGACATGCTATATCTTCAGAACTGAATAGACCCTTCAGTGACAAAATGGAACTGAGGACTAGTAGGAAGCTAAAACGTTTTATTATTTCATCTGGTCCATCTTGACTGAGGAAAAGTCCTGAAAGTCTTCCAGAGTCATACAAAGTATATGAACATGGAATTCATGTAAATCTGGATTCAAGTCTTGGCTCCAGGTTATATCTCTGGGCCAAGTTAGCCTTTAAGCTTGACTTCACTCATCTGGAAGAACGTAATATCTAAATCATAAAAGTATTGTAAGGGTTATGTAATGTTTGTAAAGATTGCTATATATGTTGTTACATGCAACTCTGGTTAGTTCATTTTTGCTATTATACAGTATTCCCCTTCTTAAATAAATAAAGCACACTTATCTACCTTTTTCTTTATTGTTATTTTTTAAATTTTCATGGGTACATGTTAGGTATAAATATCTATGGGGTACATGAGAAACTTTGATACAGGCATGCAATAAGCAATAATCACATCATGGAAAATGGGGTATCCATACCCTTAAGCATTTATCATTTCTATTACAAATAATCCAATTATGCTATTTTATATTGCAAAATGTACAAATAATTTTTTGACTGTAGTCACACTGTTGTGCCATCAAATAAAAGGCCTTATTCATTTTCTTTTTGTAACTTTTACTTTATGTTTGGGGGTACATGCGCAGGGTTGTTACATAGGTAAACTTGTGTCATGAGGGGTTTGTTGGACAGATTATTTCATCACAAAGTATTCATCGGTTATTTTTCCTGATCCTCTCCCTCCTTCTACCCTCCATCCTCCAATAGACTCCAGTGTGTGTTGCTTCTCTCTGTGTGTCTGTGTGTTCTCATCATTTAGATCCCACTTACATGTGGGACCATGCGGTATTTGGTTTTCTGTTCCTGAATTAGTTTGCTAAGTATAATGTCCTCCAACTCCAACCATGTTCTTGGAAAGAATATGATCTCATTCATTTTTATGGCTGCATAGTATTCCATAATGTTTATGTACCTCATTTTCTTTATTCATTTCCTCTATACTTCCATAACTATACTTTCACATGACTTCGTTTATCTGGGGAAAGAAACTGTGAAGCAGCAAAGTGTTCAAGAGTGGCCAGGATGCCTCTAACAGCCTATGCTCATACGTGTGAGCAAAGAAATGACCGGAAACTGGAACTTATATTTAAAGAAGCAAAGCATAATAATTAAAAAAAATTGCAACCTGGACATGTGGTAGAAAAAAAAAGCCCATTTTCAGAAGAGGAATTCAAGCAGGCTGCAGAAATTTTCATACGTAAAAGAAAGAAAAATGCTGATAGCCAAGACAATGGGGAGAAAGGCATGATGGACTAAGAGGGAAAAATAGCTGTGGACCTGACCCAGGACCCTGATGCCCTGTGCAGCCTAGGACACTGATTCATGTGTCTCAGCTGCTTCAGCCCCAGCCATAGCTCAAAGGGACCCAGGTACAGCTCAGAGCACCTCTTCAGAGGATGCAAGCTCTAAGTCTTGGCAGCTTCCATGTGATGTTAAGCCTTCCGATTCACAGAGTGCAAGAGTTGAGGCTTGTGAGCCTCCACCTAGATTTCAGAGGCTGTATGGAAAAGTCTGACTGTCTGGCAGAAGTCTACTGAATGTGTGGAGCCCTCATGGAGGACCTCTACTAGGACAGCGTGGAGGGGAAATGTGGAGTTGGAGCCTCCACAGAGTCTCCACTTGGGCACTGCCTAGTGGAGCTGTGAGAAGACAGCCACTGTCCTCCAGACCCCAGAATAATAAATCCACTGACAGCTTGTGCTGTTCACTTGCAAAAGGCACAGGCACTTATCGACCACCCTTGAGAGCAGCCACAGGGACTGACCCATGCAAAGCCACAAGAGTGGAGCTGCCCAAAGTCTTGGGATCCCACCCCTTGCATGTGAGACATGCAAGGAGCTCTAGATTTGAGACATGGAGTCAAAAAAGATTATTTTGGAGCTGTAAGGTTTAATGATTGCATTGCTGGGTTTCAGACTGCATGGGCCCTGTAGGCCCTTCCTTTTGGCTAATTTATCCCTTTTGGAATGGGAGTTTTTACCTAATCCCTATATCATCATTGGATCTTAGGAGTAACTAACTTGTTTTTGACTTCACAGGTTCATAGGCAGAATGGATGAGCCTTGTCTCAGATGACACTTTGGACTTTTGACTTCTGAGTTAATGTTAGAATAAGTAAAGACTTTGGGGGACAGCTGGGAAGGCATGATCGCATTTTGAAATGCATAAAGAACATGATATTTTGGAGGGGCTGAGGTGGAATGATATGGTTTGGATCTGTGTCCCCACTGAAATCTCCTGTTCAGTTGTAATCTCCAGTGTTGAAAGTGGGTCCTGGTGGGAAGTGATTGGATCATGGGGGAAGTTTCTCATGAATGGTTTACTACCCTCACCCTTGGTCGTGATAATGAGTGAGTTTTCATGAGATCTGGTCATTTAAAAGTGTGTAGCACCTCCCCACCTTCTCTCTTGCACCTCCCCAGGCACTTAAGATGTCCCTGCTTCCCCTTCACCTTTTGCCATGACTGAAAGTTTCCTGAGGCCTCCCCAGAAGCTGAGCAGATGCCAGTATGTGAAAACTGTGAGGTAATTAAAACTTTTTTTAAAATAAATTACCCAGTCTCAAGTATTTCATTATAGCAGTGTGAACATAGAATAACACTGGTTACATATTTCAATTTATTGCTTTTTATTTTTTGTGTACCTCTTGTATATTTTTAGATTTGAGATTACTATTTGGCTTGCAAATAATATCCCATAATCTCTTATTTCAAACTGATGACAACTTAATTCTATTGCATAAGCACACCAGGAAAAGAAAACTCATAAAAAATCGACTCTTTTATTTCATTTCCCCAATTATAACTTTTTTTATTTCTTTTTTTAATCATCCAGTTTATTTTATTTTATTTTATTTATTTATTTATTTATTATTATTATACTTTAAGTTTTAGGGTACATGTGCACAATGTGCAGGATAGTTACATATGTATACATGTGTCATGCTGGTGCGCATTTTGTTATTTCTATTTATATCTTATTGTATTGTCTATGTCTTGAAAATTAGTTGTAGTTATTATTTTTTATCAATTCATCTTTTCATATTTATCCTTAAGATATGATTAGTTCACACACCACGCTTACAACTTTATAATATGGTATGTGTATTTACTATTACCAGTGAGTTTTTTTTTCTTCATATGATTATTTTTATTACTCACTAACATTCTTTTCTTTTGGATTGAAGAACTCCCTTTAGTATTTCTTGTAGGACAGGTCTGGCATTGATGAAATCCCTCAGCTTTTGTTAGTCTTGAGAATGTATTTCTCCTTCATATTTGAAGTATATTTTCACATGATAACTATTCTAGGGTAAAACTTTCCTTTTTTTTTTTTTTTTCCTTCACCACTTTAATATGTTAGGTCACTGTCTGCTGGACTGTGAGATTTTCGCTCAAAAGTTTGTTTCCAGAAGTATTAGAACTCCATTGTAAGTTATTTCTTTCTAGTCTCTTACTGCTTTTAGGATTCTTTCTTTACCTTTGACCTTTGAGAGTATTATTATTGAATATCTTGAGGTAGACTTCTTTGAGTTAAATCTGTTTGGTGTTCTATAACCTTTTTGGATTTGAATATTGATATCCTTTTCTAGGTTTGGGAAGTTCTTTGTTATTTTGCCTTTGAATAAACTTTCTATCCTGATCTCTCTCTACTTACTTTTAAAGGTCAATGACTTTAGATTTGCCCTTTTGTGACTATTTTCCAGATCTTGTAGTAGGCATGCTGCATTGGTTTTTATTCTTTTTTCTTTTGTCTCCACTCACTGTGTATTTTCAAATAGCCTGTCTTCAAGCTCACTAATTCTTTCTTCTGCTTAATCTATTCTGCTATTAATGGAGTCTGATGAATTCTTCAGTATGTCAGTTGCATTTTTAAATTCCAAAATTTCTTCTTGATTCTTTTCAATTATTTCAATTTCATTGTGAAGTTTATCTAATAGAATTCTGAATTCCTTTTCTGTGTTATCTTGAATTTATTTGTGTTTCCTCAAAACGCCTATTTTGAACTCTGTCTGAAGTTCACATATCTCTGTCTCTCTGGGATTTGTCCCTGGTGCCTTATTTATTTTGTTTGATGAGGTCCTGTTTTCCCAGATTATTTTTATGCTTATGGGTGTTCATTGCTCTCTGGGCATTGAAGAGCTAGGTATTTATCTTATCCTTAACAATCTGGGCTTGTTTTTACCTGTCCTTCTTAGGAAGGCTTTCCACGTATTTGAAGAAACTTTTGTGTTGTGATCTAAGCTTTTGTTCACTGCAGCCATATTTACATTAGGGAGCACTTCAAGCCCAATAATGCTGTGGTTCTTGCAGACTCATACAAGTATTGCCTTGGTGATCTTGGATAATGTCCAGAAGAATTCTCTGGATTACCAGGAAGAGACTTTTCTCTCTTTCCTTACTTTCTCCCACACAAATGAAGTCTCTCTCTCTCTCTCTCTCTCTCTCTCTCTCTCTGATGAGCTTCCTGGAGCTGGAGGGAAGGTGATGAATGTCCTTGTGGCCATCACCATTGAGATTGTGCTGGGCCAGACCTGAAGTCAGCACAGCACTGGGTCTCACCAAAGGCCCACTGTAACCACTATCTGGCTATTGTCTGCATTCACTCAAGGTGCTAGGGCTCTACAATCAGCCCGTCAGGCTTTTGTTTTTTCTCCAGTGTGGTGAGTTCCCTTGGGGTAGTTCCAGAGAGGCCATCTGGGAGTCAGAAAACTTAGGAATCTACCTGGTGCTCTATACTACTATGGCTGAGCTGGCAGCCAAACCAGAATACAAAATCATTCCCACTCTAATCTCACCTTTCCCCAGAGAGGGGAATCTTTCACTATGTCTACTAACCACCACAGGCCCACACTGAGTACTTCCAGGCTACCATCAATGTTCACTCTAGGCCCAAGGGCTCCTCCATCAGCTTGTGGTGAAGGCTGCCAAGCCTAGAACTCACCCTCAGGGAAGTGGGCTTCCCTGTGTCACAGGGTAGGTCCAGAAATGCTGTCCAAGAGGTAAGGACTGCAATAAGGAACCCCAAGTTTCTGCTTGGTGCTCTACCCCACTGTGGCTGAGCTGGTCCTTAAACTGCGAGACTTAGTCACCTTTACTCTTCCCTCTACTTTTCTCAAGCAGAAGTCCTTCCTTATAGCCACTACAGCTATGAATTCGCTGGGTCACACCTGAAGCTAGCACATCTCACAGTGTCACCCAAGGCCCATAGCATGCGCTACCTGGTTACTGCTGCTGATTATTCAGGTCCCAAAGGCTCTTCAGTTAGCAGGTAACAAATTCTGCCAGGACTCATTCCTTCCCTTCAAGGCAGCAGGTTTCCTTCTGGCACAAGGTGTGTCTAGAAATGTTGCCAGGAAGCTAGAGTCTCAAATAGGGATCTCATGATTCTGCCCAGTGCCCTATACTACTGTGGCTGAGCTGGTATCCAAGATGCAAGATAAAATCCTCTTTACTCTTCCCTCTCCTCTCCTCAAGCAGAAGGAAGAGGTCTCTTTCAGAGCTGTGAGCTGTGCTTCCTGGGGTTGGAGGAGGGGTGCTGCAAGTAATTCCTTGGTCACCCCATCTGGTGTCTCACTAGGTCACATACCCCCCAAGTCCACTGGCTCCATGTCCAGCAGAGTGTCAGGACTTGCCTAGGATTTGCAGTTCTTGTGGCCTTGACTGCCTTTCAAATTTATTAGAACTCCAGAGCAATTTAGCCCTCAGTGGCAGGGCTTGCCAAAACTCAGTTCTGACTGCTGGGATGGGCAATTCCCCTCTGACTAGGGCTAGTCTAAATGCTCCCTCTGTGGGTGCCAGCGGAGCATATTGTCTTTCACTATGACATGGCAGCACTAAGTCCCAATGGAAGATTCCACAATTGTTGCACTCTCCCTCTCCCAAGTACACAAATTTGCTTCTCTACTCCACGTGGCCACTGCCATGGGATGGGGGTAAGATGTCTTTGGCAATTTAAGACTTTCTTTCCTACCCTACTCAGTTTATTTTTTGGTGACATAAAGTTACAACCAGGCACTGTGGTAATTCCCCTAAGTTTTAGTTCTAATAAAGGTGATTTCTCCTGTAGATAGTTGTTAAATTTGGTGTTCCTACAGGGAGGTTGATTGGTGAAGGCATCTATTTGACCACCTTGTTCTGCCTTTTGACTTTCATGGATTTGATTTTTATGTGTTGATATGGTTTGGCTGTGTCCTCAAATCTCATCTTGAATTGTAGATCCCATAATTCCCTTGTGTCATGGGAAGGGCCTGGTGGGAGGTAATTGAATCATGGGGGCAGGTCTTTCCCGTGCTGTTCTTGTGGTAGTGAATACGTCTCATGAGTTTTATAAAGGGGAGATCCCCTACACAAGATATCTTGCCTGCCTCCATGTAAGACGTGACTTTGCTCCTCATTCATCTTCCACCATGACTGTGGGGCTTCCCCAGCCATGTAGAACTGTGAGTCCATTAAACCTCTTTCCTTATGAATTACCTGGTCCTGGGTATGTTTTTATTAGCAGCATGCGAACAGACTAATACATGTGTCTAAGTATGTATCTCTGTGACTTTCTTCTACTTCTGGCTTTTCATGGCTACCTCATAAATGAGATGGAGAGGTAGGAGAACAAAGAGATAGCAGTAGTCTCATGATGAAATGTCATACACTCCAGTCTTACAGAGGATCAGTAGTTTTCTCTTGGACAGATTTTTTTCAGTTTGTTCTGTGGCTTTGGTTAATTTTGAGCACTTAAGAATCACTGATTTTAGTTGCTTTGCCAGCATTTTATTTTGTGTGAGTGTGTGAGGGTTGGAGTTCACCACGGTCCTCACTCCACCATTCTGGAAGTCAATCTCACATCCAGTGATTTTTTAAAATTTGACATACTGATTATATATGTTCAAGGATTTCCACTCAATTTTTATGCCATATTCAAGACCTGTCCTGATTTTCCCCATTCTCTTTCTCTTTATATACTTTTAAATGCATATTTTCTACATAATTTTCATAATCATTTGAAAACATTTGTCTGATAATTGTAGTGTATGAATAATCACTGGGTCTGTTTCTATTGGCTGCATTTTCTCTTTACTACAGGTCTCATTTTATATTTTCACATTTTGTAACTTTTGAATTGTGTTTCACTTATTTTTTTCTAAAAAGATTAGAGGATCAAATAATATGCGTATAGTGTTGTATGTTGGATATTATATAAATATTATTTTAATGTATATCAGACAATAAGCATTATATGTTATATAGTACACATTATATATATTATTAAATACACACTATTTGCTACTTGTATCATGTATTCAATATACAAACACACTTACATACATTTGCATATTTTTTTTTGCTTAATCATGCGTGTCCCATCTACTTTTAGACAACTAGAGGAAGCAGCTGATCAGATTGAGCCAATCAGGAGTTGAGTGGGGCAGGTTTGCCACCTTAATCTTTTTAGAAAGTGCTTGAATGTTAAAGTACTGTAAGTCTGAGCCTATCCCTTTTGTTTCAGAGCTAAAACCCAGACTGTAGTGGTTTCTTTGGTTAAACATAGTTCGTCTCTCGCTTCCTGTTCTACGAAAGTGAGGTCACGATTTTCCCCCTAGTTGGGCCCTGCAAGTACATAATTAAAGACTCTATGCTTCAGACCTGGGGCATCTCATTTTTCCTAGATCTTGAAACTGAAAAATTATCAGAACTACTTGTTGCAAATGATCGTCTTTGCATTTCAGTTTCCTCCACATTAAAACCCCACATTTCAGGCTATAGGTTAATCAGATATTTGACTGGTTTCTTCTCTTCCTGGCTATTACTGCTCATCTCTGGCAGATTTTTCCCTCTGCCTGTCTGGCCCCCATGTGGCAATTATCCCAAAGGCATGCAAAAACACTCTTTCCTTTGATCACTTAGGGAGGGGCCAATCCTCTGGAGTTTACCTAATTTATATGTATTTGTGTCCTAGCTTTCCAATGGCTTTAGAGTAAAAATGGATTATTTAGTGATTTTAAATTATTATTATTTCAGCAGGAAATGAGAGGTCTGTCACATTTTTCTCCATTTAAGGGAATGAAAGACTTCCTTATATGTTTTTATCCCTGGAAACTTTTTTCTCACAAACTTCAAAACATTCTGTTAAAAATGTTAACATGTGTGAACCCCGAATATCTGAGACAGGTCTCAATTTAATTTAGAAATTGTATTTTGCCAAGGTTTAGGATGTGTGCATGATATAGGGCCTCAGGAGGTCCTGATGAAATGTGCCTTAGGTGGTCGGAGCACAGTTCGGTTTTATACATTTTCGGGACACATGAAAAAACAACATATGTAAGATAAACATTGATTTGGTACAGCAAGGTGGGACAACTGGAAGCAAATGCGCAACAACTCGAATCAGGGAGGGGTCTTCCAGGTCATAGGTAGATAAGAGACAAATGGTTGTATTCTTCTGAGTTTCCGATTAGCCTCTCCATAGGAGGCAATCAGATATGCATTTATCTCATTGAGCAGAGGGATGACTGAATAGAGTGGGAGGCAGGCTTGCCCTGCGCAGTTCTCAGCTTGACTTTTCCCTTTAGCTCAGTGATTTGGGGGCCGCAAGATTTGTTTTTCTTTCACTCATGTAGCCATTCAGATTTTCGAGATATTCAAGTATTGACCCTCATATTAACCATACAAATTAGAATTATGCCTTTGCAAGACTTTCTTTTGAAAGTCAGATAAAGTCACTCAGTGTCTCCTAGAAGTTTTCATCAAAGGAGCTCAGGGGAGCTAATTTTGACCTTAAAAGGCAGAAGATTTTGCCTGCTTTGTTAAAAAAGTGACATTAACTTTCCATGCTCCTATCTCTACATTAGAAAACAAGTAAGACAGATGATATTAGCTTGTGCGTCAGTGAATTTTACATTTGTAATTAAAGTCCACATTGAATGTCAGTGTTTTTCTCAATAATATACTTTTAGAATGCCCTATTTCACTTTTGTTTAAGACTTATAAGGCTGATTTATCAAAGTGAATAATAATTCACTCTTAAATTAAAAATAACATATTCTTATGTAAATAAATTAAATTTAAAATTATTATTACTATTCTAAAATAAATGAACAGACATGTTGTCACCTTGCCTTACCATTTGATGAGCAATATCAGTGCATATATTGTGATCTTTTGAATTGAGTTCCAAAGTGTCATTATTTTTCTAAGAGGATAATCTCTTTATTAAAATTACAATTTCTTCAGAGATTCAATCATGTTTATATTTGAATGTAAGAGGAACATTTGTCAAAATAAGGAAAATACAGGGATTCCATAGAATGTAGATGATGTATTTTACTCGTAAAATATGGCTCAAATTGTTTAGCTTCTAGTTTATCCATAGTGTTCATGCCACATGCCCTAGGCTGTGCCTTATTTCAGTCACAGCCCTGGTGGACAGTTCCAACTTCCCTTGCAGCTTGTAGCATTTGGATTCAAGTGAATTAAACAAAAGTATATATTTTTTCATTCTGACCTAGGGCCTCCTCTTCCAGGAAACTTATTTTGAAAGCACACTAGAGAATGCAGATTTGTGGGTATGTTTGGGAGTATGTTAATGACCCTCAGAACAGCCTTTAACCAAAGGAGGATGGGATGTAAAATTCTGTAGCCTATGGGAGGATGGGATGTAGCCTTCTATTTTCCAGGTGGTAATTCTGGGTGGTGTTCTTTAGCCTTCTCAGTGACCTCATCTAAATTAAATCCTCAGTAGCGAACCCAATAATGCATGTTTATATTAGCTTCACTTTTTTATCTGTCTCTTGCTTTCTCTCCTGTTTTTTAGGATCACTCTTCAAATAAAATTCTTGTTGTAAAATTTATGTCCTAGGCTCTGATTTTAAGGGAACCCAAACATGAGACTAACATTATAAAAGTATAGAATTTAAATATCCACTCACCCTAATACAAAAGTCATGTGCTATATACTAGCATCATTGAAATTTTATGTGTAACAAAAGGGAGTTTATATAAAATTTATGAATCTCATATACATATATAAGGCATAGGTTAATTTATTTAATACATTTATTGTTCTTGTGTGTCAGATACTGCACCATGGACTTGCATTTTGATATTATAGAAAAACTTAACACATGGGAAATGATTGAAAAATCTTAAATAATCACTCAAGCAATAGTTAAATAAGTTATAATAAATTGTTTTCTGAGGGCCCTTTTATGGTTGGTACTTTATAATTCAGTAATTTGTGGGCAGGTGTTGTGTTTTTGTTTTTCTTGATCTGGATATTTTCTATTTGCCTGTATATCCACTCTCAACCCTTCTCCATTAAGCTTTTTCTTTTCTTTTCTTTTCTTTTCTTTCTTTTTTTTTTTTTTTTGGAGACAGAGTCTCACCCTATCACCCAGACTGGAGTGCAATGGTACAATCTCAGCTCCCTGCAACCTCCGCCTCCTGGGTAAAAGCAATTCTCCTACCTCAGCCTCCCAAGGAGCTGGGATTACAGGCATGCGCCACCACGCCTGGCTAATCTTTCTGTATTTTTAGTAGAGACGAGGTTTCACCATATTGGCCAGGCTGGTCTCAAACTCCTGACCTTGTGATCCTCCTGCCTCAGCCTCCCAAAGTGATGGGATTGCAGGCATGAGCCACCGCACCCGGCCCCGTTAAGCTTTTCCTACTAAAATTTTGCCATGAATGGGCTACATCAAAGTGTTCCCTTTCTCTCTGGGTTGAAGCTTATTTCTGCCTATGCTTTTGTCAATAATCCCTTTGTAAACCAGCACTCTTCACATTACCCTTATTTGGATGTGTCTTCTGTTTCCTTTTGAGAGACTGACCTAAGGTATTCTTATTTATCTAAATATTTTGATGTTAGGACTTTTAGTCTACATTGCAAGACTGAATTTACTTATAAACCTACCCACTCACTCACACCAGACACAAAGACTGAGTATCTTAAAAAACAACACAACTTAATCACTACCTTGGTTCAAGGTATTATAATCTGTTGCTGTGATTACTGCAATAGGCTCCTAACTGGATACCTAAATGATTGCCCTTGCCACTACATTCTATAATCAACTCTGCACCCAGAGTGAACCTGGTAGAACAGATTGTCCCAACTCTCCTCAAATATTCTCTAATGGTACCTCATGAATAAGGATCAAAATATGTAAAATAGTGTGCAAGACCTCACAAAATCCATCTTCTCATCCCTTATGTCTGGCGCATTATCTACTTCTTTCCTCCTTACTTAGTCTGCTGCAGCTATGGTGAACCCCAGCAACAGTGGCCTTATTGCTGTGTTGAGAACACATCAGCCAATCCTCAGCTCCAGAGCTTTTGCGTTTCATATATCCCCTTCCAGGGGAACATTTTCCTCACCTATTTCTCCCTAACTTTATTAGTCCTCTGTTAAAAATTGTCTTATAACTGACGACTTCTTTCTCATTCAACATAAAATAACACAATACTGGCCGGGCACGGTGGCTTATACCTGTAATCCCAGCACTTTGGGGGGCTGAGGCGGGTGGATCACTTGAGGTTAAGAATTTGCGATCAGCCTAGGCAACATGGAGAAACCCCATCTCTACTAAAAATACAAAAATTAGCTGGGCGTGGTGGCAGGCACCTGTAGTCTCAGCTACTCAGGAGGCTGAGGCAGGACAATCACTTGTACCCGGGAGGCAAAGGTTGCAGTGAGCCGAGATCATGCCACTGCACTCCAGCCTGGGCAACAGAATGAGACTCCATCTCAAAAGAAAAGAAAAGAAAAGAAAAAAAAAGTACCAAAATGATAACAATTCTTCCCTTTGCTTTCATTATTCTCCATAACATATACTTTAATGTGACATAGGAGATAGTTATATGTTTTTAGTATTGTCTGCACATCTCTGGTTTCTTATATTTTTACCATTTTTCTGTAAGCCCTCATCAACAGCATTCTCTAACTTCAAAATACTAAGTTTAAAAGCAATACGAGGAGCTACTCAGATTAAAAAACCCAGGATGTCAGCAAGATGGCAGAATAGAAGATTCCACCCATTGCCCCCTCACAGAAACACCCATATAAGCAGCCATCCATGCATGACAATATCTTCTGGATTCCAGGTAAGAGATTGTAGCAATAGGGCAGAACACCAAAATGAGAAAAAACCCATTGAAGAGGATAGGAAGGACAGTTTCACTCTATTGAAGTCACCTCTTCCACAAGTTGTCTCATTGCAGGGCTGAGAGAGATCTTCTCCCCCAGAGAGCTCCCCGTGGGGAATAGAGAGTGAAGTGTGCATTCAACTTTACCACGGACTCAGGTTCCAGGCCCAAGCCAGTCGATTCCAACATTAGGCTGACCCGCGTGGATGTAGGTTTCAGGATCTCACCAGTGATCCCTGGAGTCAAAATAATATTTATGGACTTAGGGTCCAGGGCTGTCCTAGTGCTAGGCTGTCCCCCTCAGTCCCAGGTCCCAGGTCCACTCCAGCGATCTCCCTTGGATCAAGGCTCCAGGATTGACCCAGCATCAGGAAATAGTGTGGACAACAGTTTGAACAAAAGTGTGGACAAATAGACCTAACACAAATATACAGTATATTCCATCCAACAAAAGCCAAATCCACATTCTTCTCAAGTAGACATGGAACATTCCTCAAGATAGATCATATATTAGGCCATAAAACAAGTCTTAACATATTTAAGAAACTGAAATCATAGTAAGTATTTTTTCCAACCATGGTGGCATAAAAGTAGAAATCTGTAACAGGAGTAAGTTAGAAAATTCACAATATATGGAAATTTAACAACAGAGATAAACAAACAGTGGATCAAGAAGAAATCAAAAACAAAATTTAAATGTAGCGTGATATAAATAAAATTGACAACACAACATACTAAAACTTAGGGTATGCAGCAAAGGCAGTTCTAGGATAGAAGTTTATAGTGGTAAATGGCTAAATTAAGAAAAATCAAAGAACTCAAACAAGCTAACTTTACAATTCAATGAACTAGGTAAAAAATACACACTAAGCTCAAAGATAACAGAGGAAGAAAATAATTTTAAAATGTGGTATATGCATACAGTGACATATTGTTCAGCCTTAAAATGAAGAAAAACATAACATTTGTTATAACATGGATGAATCTTGATGACATTATGCTAAGTAAAATAAGCCAAACACAGAAAGACAAATACTGTATAATCACACTGATATGTTGAATCTAAAATAGTCAAACTTATAGAAGTAGAGAGTAGAAGGTGATTGCCAGAAGCTGGTGGGAGGGGAAAATGGAGAGGTGTTAGTCAAAGGATACAATGTTTCAGTTATACAAGATAAATACATTTTGGGGATCTACTATACAGCCTAGTGCTTAGAGCAAGCAATACTGTATCCTGTATTTCCAATTTTCTAAAAGATATTATGCTAAGTGTTCTTACCACACAGACAAAAATAACTTAAAAAAGAGTTGGAAGGAAATTTTGAGAGGTGATGAGTACGTCTGCCGTCTTGGTTGTGGTGATGGTTTGATGGGTGTATTTTTATCCCTAAACTCATTGAAACATATATATATATATATATATATATATATATATATATATATATATATATGTTTGTATACATATATATTTGTGTGTATATATGTGTGTGTGTGTGTGTGTGTGTGTGTGTGTGTGTGTGTGTGTATTCAACATGCACAGCTTTAACAAATAAAATTCAGCCAGAATTGTGAATGAGGGCTAAAGAACATTTTGTTGATGTACTTTAACTGATTATGAGTTAAATTATGGTTCCTATAAATGAAAGGGTTCTGGGGTTTAATTCACACACAGAGAAAGGTGATGAGAGGTCAGAACTATACAGGGAACAGAGCTGAAATAATGTCTGTCCCATCTTTATAAAAGCTAGAATCCATAAAAAGTGTCCTATCCATTAATCCAGAAATGGAAAATCTCTGCTCGCTGGCCCAAGAAATTATTACCGATACTATCTGATCACAAAGCACTTCAGGAGAAAAAGTATAACCTATTATAAATAAAATTTCAAGAAAAATGCTGAGGTTTGATTAGGAACTACTGTTGCTGGCCATGTGGAATAGCTGAAACCAGACTTCATCTCCCACTGTAACAAGAAAGCTAGAGGGTATCTTAAAGCAACTTTAAGATTTCATTACCACCCCTCTCAAATACACAATTTCAAATTCATTTTTATATCTTGGGGTTTCTTGATGGTTTTTAAATTCTCAATATTGCAAGATGGCAACAGATGATAAAATGAAGAAATACCTTTTTGTCAAAGATCAAATCAAAGACGCTGCCAGGGGAAAGTGTTTGAAAGATGAAACCAAGAGTGTGTCTGTAAATCCTTTTGTTAAGACCTCAGATAAATCAAAGGGAGTTTGTCAAAGTACTATTTAGTCACACAAGAGATTCCTCATACAGATTAAGCCTGGGCTTCACAGATCCTCTCAGTAAAATAATAGCCAATCTTGGAAGCTTTGGGGTGTTATCCCTCAGCCACCTCAGCAGAAGCCCAAGGTTAAGGAAGACTTATTTCAAAGAGGTTTGTGGGTTGGCTTTTGTCTAATGGGGTGAACCTTGACTCAAGGATGCCCATGAGGTTCTTAAAAGAATTAGATACAAAGAAATATCACATGATTGGAAATAATGAGGAGGGGCCTTTGAACCTTCAGAAGTGTATTGGGAGAAACAGGTTGAGAGAAATGTTAAAAAATAAATATATGTTACCTTTCATGAAAAAGAAGACATGATTCAGAGGGCAAAACCAATAGACCAGAGGGTAGAGCTGAGAACCATAAAGAGTCATCCCACGTCTTGAGACCTAACCCAAGGAACTCCCAACACTTGCCTTTCTGAATTGAAGATATATATATAAAATATTATATTATTTATTATATATTAATTGTATATATAATAATTATATATTAATATTATACATTAATATGTATATAATAATTATATATTAACATTATACATAATATATATTATATATTATTATAACTGTATTCCACATACTAGGAAAGTTAGAGACATGGAAGATATAAAAATACCTAAATTTTGAGAGATGAAAACTATAACATCTGAGATATAAATGCATTAGGTACGATTAATGATATGTTACATAACAAAATCAAAGCTTAGTGAACATGGAAACACAGCAATAGAAACTAAAAAAAAAATGAAATATAGAAACCAAAAAGGATCCCTTTCACCCATCCAATGAAAAGAGCATCAATGAGCTGTGAGATAATTTCAAGAAGCCTAATATAGGAGTTAGCAGAGTTCCTGAAAGGGGATCTCAAAAAATATGTGAGTAAATTTTGGATGAAACTTTTTCAAACTGCACCAAAACTATATACCTACATACCCAAGAAGCTCAACACAACTAAGACACAAGAAACGTAAACAAAACTATACCACTGCACATTAAAATAAAGTTGTTCAAAACCAGTGAAAAAGAAAAATGTTTAAATAAATCAGAGTAAAAAGACACATTGTATACAGAAGAGTAAAGATAAAGAAGAAAGCACATTTCTCATGGGAAAAAAGCAAGTGAGAGACAGTGGAGCAACATCTTCAAATTACTAAAAGAAAAAAATACCTGTAAACCTCGAAATTATTTCTAATGAGTAGAATATGGCAGAAGCAATGGGATATAACTCCCAGAATTAGGCTGTTAGAAATATTTGGCTTTTGTCTTGGGCATACTCTCCCTCTCTTAGATCTTTTACCCTGGGGAAATCCAGTTGACCTATCATGAGAAAATCTTGTGAAGAGGCCCATATTGTAAGAAACAGAGGCCCATAAATAATCATGTAAATAACCTTGGAAACAGATACTCCCTTTCCCCATCAATAAGCCTCAAGCCACAGATACCCAAGAGGGCTTTGCTTGATTCCTGACCCATAAAAATTAAAATATTAAATATTTGTTGATTTAAATTGCTAGGCTTTCGTTTGTTTGTTTTCTCTCTCTCTTTTTTTTTTTTTTTTTTTTTTTTGACCGAGTCTCACTCTGTCACACAGGCTGGAGTGCAGTGGCATGATCTCAGCTCACTGCAACCTCTGCTGCCCAGGTTCAAGAGATTCTCCTGCCTCAGCCACCCAAGTAGCTGGGATTATAGTCGCCTGCCACCATGCCCAGCTAATTTTTCTATTTTTAGTAGAGATGGGGTCTCACCATCTTAGCCAGGCTGGTCTTGAACTCCTGACCTCGTGATCCACCTGCCTTGGCCTCTCAAAGTGCTCGGATTACAGGCGTGAGCCACCGCACCTGGCTGCTGGGGTTTTTTTTTTTTTTAAATGTATTTGTTATACAGCAATAGAAAAATACACAGGCATCCAAGAAATAAAAGTTGGAAGTTATTTCTATCCTTAATCCTACAAGGGAAAGGAAAGAAGAAGTGCTCTTAACAAACTCAGTGTGAGCTAGAGCCATGGAAAGTGGTAGCCTGACTTCACCTGTAATTAAGAGGTCCAGTCATTGCCAAAGCCTCAGCACAGAGGAAGGAAGGAAATGACCATTATCTCTTCCTCCCCTCCTATCTCCTGCCAGTGACACCCATTGTCTAAATCTAGTAATAAGCCAGTGGGAGTAGTGTCCTAATGATACAGTTTTTAGGAACAGAACAAGGAAAAGAAGGACAGAGGATAGATATGGTGGGGTAATAGCCAACAGTATTCACAATGCACTAAAGCACAGCTCTTTGTTCAAATTGAAGATATTGTGGCCTCATTTTAGAGAAACTTGAAAAAACAGAAAGAAGAAATAGTATACTGCAAAACCACTTATTAAAGCCTGTTTTTCAACATACTTGCTCCCTGTCAAACAATTGTAACTGTTTTTTTATTTAAAAACAAGAAAATTAAAGGAGAAGTAGATTCTCATTGAATAATGTCTCTATCTCTAAATCTACATTACAGAAGAGAAATGTTCAGAAATTAATATCTGCTTTTGAAAAGATTTTTAAAAGACTTTTAAAAGAGTATTCCCTAGCATGACAAGTGGAAAAGTCTTGAATTGCCTTTGTGACAAAGCATCTTTTGAATTTCAGAGACTGAGGCATTTCTGATTTAGCAATAGGAAGCATGTGATTTTTATCAAAATTTCAGAAAAGCCATTACTGAGTTTGCAAATAATTTGTCACACAAACCTGAAACAATGTGAGTACTCAACAAATTTTGCAAATAATGCTCTTTCTTTATTCTTTAAAGCTTTACTAATAATAGGAGAAAATGAGAAGATACAAGGGTCATGCAACAATAGAATTTGACAATAAATTTGGCCGAGCACCTATTATAATTATCAATGTCTGTTTTAACACAGGGTAAATTCAGTAGAGTGATGTAGGCATAGGCCTAAATATAGTTAGCTTGAAGGTAATTGGAATTAAAGATTATACCTAACAAATGAAGGTGACTTTTTTTTAATAACTCTGGTTTTTCCCAGGAAGAGAGATCGTGCAGAGCCTAAATAAGAAAGTAAACATTTTTGGTTTAGGAAAAGAACGTTAAATATTTTTAATATATGGGAAAGAGACGTTAGAGATAAGAAGAGAAAACTGAAATGTCAACCCACTGCATAGGTATAAAAGGATGAAATTCAGAGGAAAAGGGGAGATACCTATGAAAAAAGGAAAGGAGACAAATATGCAAATTCCTCTGCTGCATATTTTTTGGTAGACGTTCTGGAAACTAGCTTGGGCATAAGAGTGGAGAAAGGATTCATTTACATAGATTCAAAGACAGTATTTTGCTGATTCATGAAACAAAAGGACAAATGGCCAAAGAGTGGAGGATAATAATAATAAAGAATAGATTATATATCTAATATAGATAGGTGAGAAACTGCAGGGAGGAGGATAGGAATAGACTTCCCAGGACAAAATGATGAGATCTAGTATAGGCAATCTGGAGTTAAAGTGTAAAATAACTGGAATGGTAAGCAGTTATGACATATAGCAAAATGTATTAGAATTGAAGACTTTAGAGGATAAACAGTTCCAAGAGAGTATAAGGGTTAGGGTGTGATCACGTATTCTGGTGGATGAAATTTAGAGAAACAAATCATCCTTGGTGAAAAAGAGTTCAAATAAGTATAAAGCCAGGGTATTATATAAGCTTTCAACATGGACATTGAATTCCTTGGATGACCGCAAATCTTGAGGCAGAATAAAAGACTGTGAGTAAATTGCTCGTCTTCAATAGAGATGGAATAATGGCCAGAATGTTGGTAGGTGAACACAGCAAGAAGAAATATAGGATGGTATTGCCAGATGGTGCTATTCTCAAAGGAGAAATTTCGTTTATTCAACTAAAGAGATTTTATCAAGCTCTCACTCTATGACAAGGGTAGGCATTTGGGATCCAAATCTGTGTAAGATGTTCACTAAACTTTGAAGATCCTAGAAGGCGAGTGAACAGGCTCTATTTTTTTTTAAAAAAGCTTATTTTGCACAAATATGGAAGAGAAAGAATTTGGATGCAGCAGCATAAAATTCCAACCTCATCTCCCAACTCCATGTTAAAGTGTGAGAAAATAAATAATTTACACACAAAAGACAATCAGAGAAAGAAAAAAACACAAGAAAGAAAGAACTGCATTGTTGTGGAGGAAGTCCAGGAATTGATCTGTGAGCAGGTTGAGAATGTAAGAGTTTCAGTAGGTGTTGCAGAGGATGCAAATGACTAACACCAGTGACCTATGATTATAACATCTAATATATAAGTGTCAACTACCGTCAGCCACAATAATGTTGCATAACAAACAACCATAAATCCTTGTGACATACGAGTATAAAAAGTAGAGGTTCGTCTTCAAAGACTTTCCTCCCTATCTAATTAAGAATAAATAGTAACTTCTCTTAGAAGCAAAATTTATTCAAAGACCTGTGCTAACATTCTTCAATATCTGCTAGCAGTAATAAAGAAATCAATGTACTTTATGTTCTTAGCTCCCACAATTTAGCCTAAATATTTGCCCTGACATGCTTATCCTATTCCAAGCAAGTATTAGGTCATAGCCTGTTCCTCTTCTTTATTTGAAGGTGTTTTTACCTTTATCAGCATTCCACAAGTTACTTCTCCTTCCTTTGTTCTCCTCTGCCTTTGCCTCTTTTAAAAAGTTCTAAGTTGCTAGCCAATCGGGACATATACAGAATGTGAGGTCCCGTTCCAGCCAATGGAAACTGGATACAGCAGTAGGGTGGATGCGTCAGGTTATAAATGACCCTGTCTCCTTTGTTCGGTATACTCTCCTGGCAAAACTGCTGGTGAATGTACCATTTCTGCAGAAAGTATAAAAATGGCCTTGCTGAGAAATTAAATTTATGTTCAAGTGCTATTTCTTTACGGCACCAGGGAACAAGCATTTCAAACATGAGGATCATTTAATCAGCTCACTAATTTGCAGGTTTCAGCTGAACTGGGATAGGCTTAGCTAATGTTAGGCTCACTCATACATCTGGGAGTCAGCTGGCTGTGGCTGATCTAGAATTTTCGGGGCAGAAATGACTGGAATTACTCAGCTGTGTTCCATGCATGTCATCCTTTATCAGGATATCCTGCACATGTTCTCATGACAGGAAATCCAGAGCAAGCACGTCAAATAGCAATTTTCAGGCCTCTGCTTGGGTCAAATTTGCAAACATCTCATAGGCTGAAGCAAGTTGCAAGTCCAATCCCAAAGTCAAATGCTAAGGCTAAAAGGGCATTAAAAATGGGTTATCAGTTATCTTCCTTGGTTGAAGCCTGCTGTTAATAAAATCAATTGGGCAGTTAAGTAACTGGTTCTCGCCTGCCATGGATTCATACTGTGACCTTGGAAAGTGGTTTTCCGGCTTTGGGTCTCATTCTTCTCTGGCAATACACACACACAAACACACACACACACACACACAGAAATATATATACATGCAAACACACTCCATAGCAAATTTCATAAATTTGTATATTTGTGTGTGTGTGTGTGTGTGTAATATGACTACAATCTTGTGATCTCAGGAAGGGAGAATTAGTCTAAAATTTGTCTATGCAATGAAAGTATTTTTATAATAGATGGAATGTAAGATATTTTAACTGGTAAGCAATAGGTTGCCAAATAAATGTTCTTAGTAGTTTTAAACTACTGTTATTGAAGTTTGTGTCATTTAGAAAGAAAGAGTAATTGAGTAGTGTGGCAATAAACATACGTGTGTGTGTGTCTTTATAGCAGCATGATTTATATTCCTCTGGGTTTATACCCAGTAATGGGATGGCTGGGTCAAATGGTATTTCTAATTTTAGATCCCTGAGGAATCTCCACACTGTCTTCCACAATGGTTGAACTAGTTTACAGTCCCACCCAGTGTATTTCTCCACATCCTCTCCAGCACCTGTTGTTTCCTGACTTTTTAATGATTGCCATTCTAACTGTAAATGACAAGTTAATGGGTGCAGCACACCAACATGTCACATGTATACATATGTAACAAACCTGCACGTTGTGCACATGTGCCCTAGAACTTAAAGTGTAATAAAAAAAAATATATATATATAAAAGAAAGAAAGAGTAATTGAGTAAATAAGTAGGTTATGCAAGTTCCCTGTGGAGAAGTGATCTTCTAACAAATGGATCCTCTGGAAATAACAGCTATAAAGCCAAGATTAATTATTTTAAAAATAACTACTTGAGTACTCTAGGGATTGAAGAGAGGCAAGAAGATTTTGGAGGAGAATCAAAACATAGAACAAGCTATTGGCATAAAATGAATTATCTGGTGTGTATGTGCTTGCATGTGTACATATGCTTGCCTTCAGGGTGAATGTAGTCAATAAAACTCAAAAAAAAATCTGTTTGGAGGAAGCAGAGGAAAGAGCCTGAGATAAGCAAGTTGCTGGATTCCATAGATTAGAACCCTGGGGGAATGGTACCAGAGAAGGTGAATACCCAAGTACGTGTTTAAACTCAAGTTTTTGGATGAATCCTGAACCACACACAACTCATGCAACCTAGAAGGAATTTGAAGCCATTGTTTAAAAATAAAACTAAACTGAGATCTGAGCCCAGGCATGACAGTTTGCAGTTTGAGTCTAACCAAGTTAATTGCACATTAATTAAAAAATATCAACAGTCTTCAAAATAAGAACAGAATGCTGTTTCCACAACACAATAGGCACAATAAGGATAAAATACAAAATCAGCTGACATCCCCAAGTCAGGAAAATGTGATATAGCCTCAGAGAAAACCCAGGTATTGGAATTATTACACAAGACTTTAAAGTAGCTATTGTAAATATGTTCAGTGAGTTAAAGGAAAATATATGAATAGACAATGTAAATGTAGAAAATATCAGCAGAGAAAAATATAAATAGAACCAAATATAAATTTATAACTGAAAAATATCATATCTGCAGTTAAAAAAATTAATGGATTGACTTAATAGCAGCAAAGAAATGATAAAGGAACAAGTCAGTGAACATCAAGACAAAAATAAACAGAAATCATCTATCCCAAAGAAGAGAGAGAAAAAAATGTTGAAAAAGTAAAGAAAGGTCAGAGAACTTCAGGAGAATTTCAGATGGTATAACATATGGGAAATTGGAGTCCCAAATGGAGAAGAGATATGAGGACAGTAAAAGTATATCTTAGAAGGAGTAATGGTTAAAAACTTCCCAAATCTGGTAAAAGACATACATTCACAGATTTCAGAAGTTCAATGGACTCTTACGAGAATAAATTTCTAAAATTCCATGTCTAGTCATATAATAGTGAAACAAAAGAGAAAGAGAAAGGAAATTGTAAAACTAACCACAAAGAAAAGACAAATTGTATTTAGGAAAACAGTGATTCAAATGCCTAAGTAGTGTTCATTGAAAACTCTGGAGGTCCAAGACTGCAATGGCACAGTAAAAGTATAAAAGGAATAAGTCAACCTAGAATTATATATCAAATGAAAACATCCTTTAATAATGAAGTTAAAATAAAGACATTTTTAGATAATGTAAGCTAAGTGAATTTATTGCTGCTATGCCATACTACAAGAAATGGTAGCATGGAGGGCTGTTGAATTTTGTCGAAGGCCTTTTCTGCATCTATTGAGATCATGATGTGGTTTTTGTCTTTGGTTCTGTTTATATGATGGATTACATTTATTGATTTGCGTATATTGAACCAGCCTTGCATCCCAGGGATGAAGCCCACTTGATCATGGTGGGTAAGCTTTTTGATGTGCTGTGGGATTCGGTTTGCCAGTATTTTATTGAGCTAAAAACTCTCAATAAATTAGGTATTGATGGGACATATCTCAAAATAATAAGAGCTATTTATGACAAACCCACAGCCAATGTCATACTGAATGGACAAAAACTGGAAACATTCCCTTTGAAAACTGGCACAAGACAGGGATGCCCTCTCTCACCACTCCTTTTCAACATAGTGTTGGAAGTTCTGGCCAGAGCAATCAGGCAGGAGAAATACAAAAAGGGTATTCAATTAGGAAAAGAGGAAGCCAAATTATCTCTGTTTGCAGATGAGATGATTGTATATTTAGAAAACCCCATCGTCTCAGCCCAGAATCCCCTTAAGCTGATAAGCAACTTCAGGAAAGTCTCAGGATACAAAATCAATATGCAAAAATCACAAGCATTCCTATACACCAATAACAGACAAACAGAGAGCCAAATCATGAGTGAACTCCCATTCACAATTGCTTCAAAGAGAATAAAATACCTGGCAATCCAACTTACAAGGGATGTAAAGGACCTCTTCAAGCAGAACTACAAACCACTGCTCAACGAAATAAAAGAGGACACAAACAAATGGAAGAACATTCCATGCTCATGGATAGGAAGAATCAATATCATGAAAATACCCATACTACCCAAGGTAATTTATAGATTCAGTGCCATCCCCATCCAGCTACCAATGACTTTCTTCACAGAATTGGAAAAAACTAAAGTTCATATAGAACCAAAAAAGAGCCCGCATCGCCAAGTCAATCCTAAGCCAAAAGAACAAAGCTGGAGGCATCACACTACCTGACTTCAAACTATACTACAAGGCTACAGTAAGCAAAACAGCATGATACTGATACCAAAACAGAGACATAGACCAATAGAACAGAACAGAGCCCTCAAAAATAATACCACACATTTACAACCATCTGATCTTTGACAAACCTGACAAAAACAAGAAATGGGGAAAGGATTCCCTATTTAATAAATGATGCTGGGAAAACTGGCTAGCCATATGTAGAAAGCTGAAACTGGATCCCTTCCTTACACCTTATACAAAAATTAATTCAAGATGGATTAAAGACTTAAATGTTAGACCTAAAACCAAAAAACACTAGAAGAAAACCTGGGCATTACCATTCAGGACATAGGCATGGGCAAGGACTTCATGTCTAAAACACCAAAAGCAATGGCAACAAAAGTCAAAATTGAAAAATGGGATCTAATTAAACTAAAGAGCTTCTGCACAGCAAAAGAAACTGCCATCAGAGTGAACAGGCAACCTACAGAATGGGAGAAAATTTTTGCAATCTACCCATCTGACAAAGGGCTAATATCCAGAATCTACAATGAACTTAAACAAATTTACAAGAAAAAATCAAACAACCCCATCAAAAAGTGAGTGAAGCATATGAACAGACACTTCTCAAAAGAAGACATTTATGCAGCCAAAAGACACATGAAAAAATGCCCATCATCACTGGCCATCAGAGAAATGCAAATCAAAACCACAATGAGATACCGTCTCACACCAGTTAGAATGGCGATCATTAAAAAGTCAGGAAACGACAGGTGCTGGAGAGGATGTAGAGAAATAGGAACACTTTTACACTGTTGGTGGGACTGTAAACTAGTTCAACCATTGTGGAAGACAGTGTGGTGATTCCTCAGGGATCTAGAACTAGAAATACCATTTGACCCAGCCATCCCATTACTGGGTATATACCCAAAGGATTATCAATCATGCTGCTATAAAGACACATGCACACGTATGTTTATTGTGACATTATTCACAATAGCAAAGACTTGGTACCAACCCAAATGCCCATAAATGATAGACTGGATTAAGAAACTGTGGCACATATACACCATGGAATACTATGCAGCCATAAAAAAGGATGAGTTCATGTCCTTTGTAGGGACACGGATGAAGCTGGAAGCCATCATTCTCAGCAAACTATCACAAGGACAGAAAACCAAACAGCATGTGTTCTCACTCATAGGTGGAAATTGAACAATAAGAACACTTGGACACAGGAAGGGGAACATCACACACCGGGGCCTGTCATGGGGTCGGGGGAGAGGGGAGGGATAACATTAGGAGATATATCTAATGTAAATGACAAGTTAATGGGTGCAACATACCAACATGGTACATGTATACTTATGTAACAAACCTGCATGTTGTGTACATGTACCCTAGAACTTAAAGTATAATAATAATAATAATAATAATAATAATAATAATAATAAAATGTGAGTGCTGGTAAAAAAAAAATGCTAAAGGAAGATCATCATGTTGAATAAATTGACCCTAGAGAGAAATGTGGTGCTTCACATATGAGGGAAAAGCATTAGAAATAATAAATATGTAGATAAATGTAAGTTAATATTTTCCTTGTAATTTCTTTTAATAAAATGCACAACTGTTCAAATAAAAAATCATAACATTGTCCTGTGGGAGTAATTATGTATGTAAATATAATACCTATGACAACCATCATATCATAATATATATTGCACAATATGCACAAAAAGTTATAATATTTGCAACACTATATAAGACAAAGAACCAGAATATATAAAGGATTCTTACAACTCATTACAAGAATATAAATAACCTAATCAAATAATAAAAAAATTTAAACAGACCCTGTA
Source organism: Homo sapiens (assembly GCF_000001405.40). Classification (NCBI taxonomy): domain Eukaryota; kingdom Metazoa; phylum Chordata; class Mammalia; order Primates; family Hominidae; genus Homo; species Homo sapiens. The sequence continues at coordinate 145,320,724 of NC_000023.11, read as the reverse complement.
CCAAAGAAGATATTCAGATGACAAAATGCACATGAAGAAATGCTCAAAATCATTATTTCTTAGTGAAAAGAAAGTTAAACTATAATGAGACAACAGTACACACCCTTAAAAATGGCTGAAATTAAAATATAGATAAAACTAAGAGATGGCAAGTATGCAGACCAACTAGATTTCTCAAATACTTCTATAGAAACTGCCAAATGATACGGCTACTTTGAAAAACAGTTTTTTAATTTTAAAAAATGTCAAAAATACATATATTTAAACAAAAAAAGTCCCAGCCCTATCTCACTCCTGGATATTAATTCAAGAGAATAGAAATTGATGTCCATACAAAGACCAGTTTGTGAATGTTGATAGCAGCTGTATTTGCAATAGCAGTTTCATTCATAATAACAAAAAAAGCAGAAGTAACCTACATGTTCATTAACTGATTAATGGATAAACAAAATGTGGTATATCCATACAATGGAATACTGATGCAAAGACATAGATGCCTTGTCTCCTTGGGCACAAGGCAACACTGCTATGCTGTCATTCATTCCTTAGAAGTCCCGTAGGGATACAGCCGAAGCTATTCTTTAGCTTAATTCACATCTTTGCTAGGTTTTCTTCTTTAACTAAACCAACTTTCCTCATTTACTTACAAGTACCTCCTGAGTGCTTCATCATTAAATCACTTGCACAAGAATAGCCTTCTCTTGTTCCCTTTTTAAGGACCCATGCTAAGGCAATTGATATCCTGAATGTTCCTAGGAAGCCAACTGTGAGTATGGAGGTATGGAGTTTGGTCACTCGTAGCTGACTGGCAAATCTCTGGTAGTAGGCTGAGCCTTGATATTCCCTGAGTTGCTGTGACAGTGCAGTTAAGTTATTCACTCTCCTTTGATGAGCTGAGATGAGATACAGGTAATAGGGAATGTATTGGCTTGTGCAATACCTGTGGTATTTAAAAGGGAGAAACATTAATGATAAGAATTGTGAAATCGGGTGGTCATTGTTGATTGCCAGTGATACTCGGAAGAGAAAAAAATAGCAGGTTAGGGCTGGGCGCAGTGGCTCATGCCTGTAATCCCAGCACTTTGGGAGGCCGAGGCTGGCGGATCACCTGAGGTCAGGAGTCCAGACCAGCCTGGCCAACATGGTGAAACCCCGTCTCTACAAAAAATACAAAAAAAAAAAAAAATGCCAGGCATGTTGGCGGGCGCCTGTAATCCCCGATACTTGGGAGGCTGAGGCAGAAGAATCACTGGAACCCGGGAGGCAGAGGTTGCAGTGAGCCGAGATCATGCCATTGCACTCCAGCCTGGGCGACAAGAGCAAGGCTCCATCTCAAAAGAAAAAAAAAAAAAATGCAGGTTAAAGTCCCACATTATCATGAGGAATGATATTTTTAATATATTGTGGAATTTGGTTTGCTAGTATTTTGTTGAAGAATTTTATCAACATTCATCAGAGATATTGGCCTATACTTTCCTTTTTTTGATGTGACTGTCTGGTTTTGGTATCAGGGTAATGTTTGCCTCATATAATGAGTTTGGAAGTATTCCCTTTTTCTTTATTTTTCCAAATAGTTTGAGTATAATTAGTATTAATTCTTCTTTCAGTGTTTAGTAGAATTCAGCAGTGAAGCCATAGTGGCCTGGGCTTTACTGGGAGTCTTTTTTTTATTATGCTTCAATCTCATTATTTGTTATTGGCCTGTTCAGGTTTTATATTTCTTCCTGGTTCAATCTTGATAGGTTGCTTGAGTTTAGAATTTTTTAAAATTTCCTCTAGATTTTTCAAATTATTGTCATGTAGTTGCCCATAGTAGCCACTAATGATCCTTTGAGTTTCTGCAGTATCAATTGAATTGTCTTTTTTTAATCTCTGATTTTATTTGGATGTTCTCTTTTTTTTTGGTCAGTCTTGCTAAAATTTTGTCAGTTTAGTTTTCCAAAATCCTATTTGTTGTTTCATTGATCTTTTCTATTATTTTCTTCATTTTATCTCATTTATTTTTACTCTGATATTTATTATTTTTTTCTTCTATTAATTTTGGGATTGGTTGCATTGCTAGTTCTTTAAGATGCATGGTTATGATGTTTATTAAAGGCTTTTCTTCTTTTTTTGTTGTAGACACTTACAGCTATAAAAGTCTCTTACTGCTTTTGCTGTATTCCATAAGTTTTGGTATGCTGTGTTTCCTTGAATATTTGTTTCAAGAAATTTTCCAATTTTCTTCTTTTAAAAAATTTTTTTTATTATACTTTAAGATCTGGGATACAGGCGCAGAATGTACAGGTTTGTTACATAGGTAGACATGTGCCATGGTAGTTTGCTGCACCCATCAACCTGTCACCTACAGTAGGTATTTCTCCTAATGCTGTCACTCCCCTAGCCCCACAGGAAAATCCTATTTTGCAGTTTGCCTAATAGTACCGGTACAGGTGTTCAAGCAAGTTCAGTCATGGAAACTGTAGCAGAGACTCATAAGTTAAAATTTTAACCATGTATCAGAAGGAAAGAGAAAATTCACAGCCTGTTGAGATTATAGAGGTTATTGCAAAGGGCTATGCAGAAAAGTGCTATTGAGTGTAAAGGGGCAAACACTCCCTGCTAACATTTACAGGATCCTTTGAAAATTAGATGTGATTCTATGTTTGAAAGCATTTGTAACATGGAAGGCCCTTTAAGAAGTTGGTGAATTTCAGAGCAAATCTGACTTTCTCAGAAACTCCTCCAAGAAATGGTGGTTGTTATAATAAGTTACAATAGTTGCCTTTTATTAAAGATCCACTATGTGACAGCTTATGAGAGAGACTACAAGTGCTCATCCACATCTTGTATTCATCCTTTAACATGGCTATTATTTCTGTTGCGAGGAGTATTTAAATATTTTAATTATGAAGATGGTAGCTTATGCATTCTTATTGCAAAACTATTGGCAAACACAGATAAATCACAATTCTCAACTTTACAAAGTTGCTTCAACATTCAGCCCGTTCTTCATAGGTATCTATAATTAACAATCTGGTGTGTATTGTTTTAAAGCTTATTCTAGACTTTTTCAGAAACAGATGTACTATAAAAATGCATTTTTTTAACATAAATGGGTAATTATGAACATATTGATCTGTCACTTGCCTTAGCACTTAATAAAATGGGTGCAGGACCTTTCCATGACAGCACATATGGTATATCCACTCTAAAGTACGTATATGCCATAATTAACTAAATCATTCTCCTCCTGATAGACAAGTTGTTTCCCATTTGCTTCTATGATTAATATAACTAAAAACAACATCTTTAAACATGAATTATTGGACATCTATTTGTGTTTTCTCATAAGAAAAGCATATTAATGAGAAAATTGATTACTGTAGACAGAGTGTGAATATTTTAAATTTTTACAAATATTGCTGAAATTATGTTTCAAAAATGCTATACGTACTCATTTTCTCAGAAATTAATGTATATAAATACCCTGCACTTTCACAAACATTTTATCAATCTTCACATTTTTATCAAAATTAGGGGTGTAAAGATGTTGTCTCACTATTGTTTTAATTTGTATTTCTCCATTTTTCCATTAAAAAGAACATTAAGTTAATTCTTCACCTATATAAAGCTGAATTCATGCAATGATGTCTTTAGTAACATGATTTCTTGGGGGAATGATTTAAAAATATGGGCTGGGCATAAGAGGATCACTTGAGACCAGGAGTTCAAGACGATCCTGGGCAACGTGGTAAGACCCTATCTCTGCAAAAATCTTTAAAAATTAGCCCAGTGAGGTGATATGGGCCTGTGGTGCCAGCTACTCAGGAGGCTGAGGTGGGAGGGCCGCTTGAGCCAGAGTCCAGGAATGAGATCACATACAAAACGTAAAGTTCAGAGAGCTGAAGGCCAGGTGGCACTCAAGGCTCTGAATCCAGAGTTCACTGTAGTGAGGAGAAAGATCCAAAAGGAAAAATGATGAGGGATATGGGTGGTGATGGGACTGGTACAGGACAACTTCTGTGAATAAGCTTGAGAAATTTCTACATCATTATTACCAGCTAAAAGTTACAGAGTGTTTGGAGTAGGCAGCTCTACTGGACTTAATCAGCACCCTGCCTGACATTTCACCCTACCTTAAAACGCCCCCTGCTTTCTATCAGTAAGAGCATAGCTGGCTCTGCTGCATTATTTTGGGTGCACAACACTCTTGACCACTCTAGTGATCTATTGTAAACTTGCCAAGTCCCAGGGCTGAAAGCTGTCCTGATGCCTGCTGGAGGTTTGTATTTTTTACCTCTGTGTACAGTGGACCCCCTCTATAGAGGCTGGGGCTATGCAAGTGAGTGGAGTTGGTGACTGATGACTGGCAGTTGAGATGGACCAGGAATCCCAGTGAGCAGAGCAAGAGAGTGTGTAGCTGCAAAGAAGGGGAAATGAGTGAGAACTTTCCTGGACCGCACTGACTCTGCAGATAAAAGACTGGGTGTGAACATGTCTTAGAAAATAATCCAGATAGTGTTCCTATCCCTTCCCTTCCCTTCCCTTCCCTTCCTTTTTATCCTCTCTCCCTCCCATTCCCCCTCCCTCCCTATTTCTTTATTTGGAGCATTTCATTGAAATATAATTCATATATCATGAAATTTAACCATTAAAAGTATAAAATTCAACAGTATTTAATATATTCAAAGATACATGCAACCACACCCCAGTGAATTTTAGAATATTTTTATCACCTCAAAGGGAAACCACATACATGTTAGCTATTGCCTCCCTATTCTCCCACCCAAACCCCAACCATAAATAACCACACATGTATTTTCTGACTATGGATTTGCATATATTGTACATTTCATATGAATAAACTTACAAAATATTGAGGTTTTTGACTGCCCTACCCTTAATAGGTCACAATTTTACCCCATGTTTCTTATAAAGAAAGTGACCTAATACATGTTGGATATGTTGTCTCAAACACCATTACTACAGTTCTTGAGAATGCTGTCAGTTACTTTTCTTAGGGTATTATTTGGTCCTTCTGAGAACTGCTAGTTGCTTACAGCATATACTGGGGCTCATCAAATACCATTATTAAGTAGGTGGCCTGTGGGTGGGATTTCTTTGTCTACCTCTTTTTGGGGGAGTGTCCTTAATTCTGTTTATGTGATGTATCATATTTATTGATTTCTGCATGTTCAACTATCCTTGCATCCATGGTATCAAATCGATTTTATTGTTATGTATTGTCTTTTTGACATGGTGTTGGCTTTGTTTTGCTAATATTTTGTTGAGGACTGGGGAGTGTTATTGTTACCCTGCACACATCAAACCATTTTATCATCTAGGTCTACCATTCTAAATCCTGATATCACCCCCTACCCAAACACAATGTGAAACACCTAGTCCCTATACTTGCCAGTGTGATAAAGATTTCAAGAGAAGATTTGTCTTCAGTGCTCAGTCCTGATCCAGTTCTTATCCGTCAATATCTGGCTAACTGTGGACTTGCCAGCCTGGTTGCCAACACTACAGAACCCTACTTTTCTCCCTTCTCATGTGCCTCTTTCCTTCCTTCCCTCCCCAACACCAGGGAACACATAAAGATACACACATATGCTCTAGAAAGAGGAGCTTTTTACAACTTGTTGATTTTAGTGTAATCGCCGTCCTTCTATACTGTTGTAAGGGTTAGACCCAATGTGGTTGACTATTTCTCAGCAGCAAAGCCCTTTGAAGGTACAGCAGATATTTCTGAGCCTGCTGGCCCTTGCTCAGTAATTACTGGCTGTACAGATCATTACTTGAAGTACTGGAATTGTTCAGGGTCTCTTTGTCCATATTTGGCTGATTTTGATTCAAGTTCTTATTCACTTCATGGTAATGGCTGAATAATGTTCGCCCTCTTTCTCTGGTGGGCTTTCTTGAAGGAGTGGTATTTGTTTGAGAACATTTTTTTTCTTGAACTCCCTTGAAGAAATATTTTTACGCTTATGGCTGTATTCTGTAAATGGGAAGACAACATGGTGATCCTAGAAGGACATTGATTTGGAGGAAGAGGGTGGGGATTAGATGGGAACAGAGGCTTCATGTGAAACAGTGCAGGCTAAGGAGGGGGTTTGTGAGCTTGTGAAAGGCAAGGGCATGGTAGGAGTCATGAGGGGAGTCCATGAGGAAGAAGAGAATGAGCCTAGATTGGATTGTGTCCACTGACACCTTCTCTAGGCCTTTTTCTTCTTCTTCACTTTTATGTTTAAGATTAGTCGTTCTATAACCCTGCTAGGCACATGTCTTTTTCTGGTCACCTTAGCCATGTCACTGCCTCCCAGTGGGCTCACCTAGGATTCGTGGCCTCCCTATATATATCACTCTTCAGGAAAATGAAGAGCTACGGGTCCAGTTTACTTTGGTCAGCCAGGCACACCTCCTAGCCAGTGATGGTCCTGGGGTGGCTCACACATTATAAAGCACCATTTCTGATGTTTTTTCCGGGGTGTGGGGCGGGGGTGGGATGGAGATGCTGAGAAGACCAAGATGGAGAAAAGAAGGCATTTCTTTACTGCACCCTCAAAAGCCTTCCCAAAGTTACTTCCCACACCTCATCTCCCTATGCTTAATTTTGGTGGCACACATGGCGTGGAGAGGGTGTTTCCTCCAAGGAATTTACCATGGCCATTCCGTTTTCTCCCTCCTCCCCTCACTTTAATGGCAGCTCATATTTTGAATGGCTTACTCTAAATTCCTTCAAGGTAATATGGCCACATTCACATGTGATAAATGTGTAAATCATCCCACTTCTTTCCTGTTAGAATGGTTGCAATTTAAAAAGAAAATAAGAAATATTGGCAGGCAAGGAAGTAGAGTATCTGGAACTCCAATTCTCTCCTGGTAAAAATATAAATGGCAAAATTGTTTTTTATAATATTTTGATATATTCTTAAAAAGTTACATATATCTACCTCTGATTCAGCTATTCCATTCTTAGGTATTTATTCAAAAAAATAAAAGAATATGTATATAGGAAGACTTGTACATTAGTGTTCATAGAAGCTTTACTTAAAAGAGCCAAAGCTAGAAATAAATTTTCGTCAACATATTTATGGATAAACGGTTGTATATTCATACAATAAAAATAAAGTTTAGCAATGAAAAGAATGAGATATTTACGGACACAATGGAGTAGATTAAATGCAAAATAATTTTGCTGAGTGAAAGAAGCCAGAGAGAAGAATAGTACAGACTGTCTGGATTTGTTTACTAAGAACTTTAGGAAATGCAACTGTCGTGATAGAAAGCAGAACAATGGTTGCTTGGGAAAGGAAGGGGCAGAAAGGAAAGGAAAAGATTTAAAAGAGGCATGAGGAATTACTGGGAAATAATAGATATGTTCATTATTTTTATAGTGGTTATGGTTTCACATGTATATACATATTTTTAATTTACAAGTCATACTGTTAAAATTATGTTCAGTTTATTGTCCCTCAATGTTACTTAAGAAAGTTAGTTTTAAGAAAATATGAAAGGTCTATCTTCTATATTACACCAGTTATTTTATACTCCTGCAAATGTAGCCTAAATTTTTCATGCTTTTTTGGAAGCTACATCATATGTCTGTATAATGTTGAGCTTTATTCAACTAAAATTTCCCGTACTTGTTGGTGCCTTAACCACACACTGGAGAGCCTTTAATAATTCATTTGTATTTATTTTCCTTTGAGAATTAAAACGTGCAAAACCCTCCTCTGTTCCTTTACCTAATATGCTCCCCTCACATGGATGACTTTTTTTTGAATCCTGACATATTTTTTTCAATGTATTAACTCCTCCAAATTACGTTATCTGACCTCAGACTGAATTCTACTTTTGGATGAATTCGGTGGTACATGGTGGAATCTGTTCAACCATAGAAAGGGTCATTTTAAAAGATCCATTATTTATTCACCAGTCACTGCCTCTAGTCTCCCAATCATAACTGTGAAGCTCGCTGCTAAGACCACAATGTTTCTATGAGCTATTTATTTATTTGTTACTGGCAGGTTTTAACACTGAGAGCTTCATATAGTCCTATGCTTATCATAGCTTCTATAGATATATCTAGAAAATGAGAAACTGGTTACCTAAATACAATGAATAATGGAAAAGTTACATATGAAATATCCATGTCTTTCTACTTTCCTCTCCAAAGGCCGTGCTGTCTTTGGAGTCAGACCCAGGTGGAATTTTATCCTTACTTAACAAAATTATTGACCTTGGTATGGGAAAATTATGTATCCTTTCTAAGGGAGTGATATGCTTTGCATCTGTTTTCCACCGAAATCTCACATTCAATTGTAATTCCCAGTGTTGGAGGTGGGGCTTGGTGAAAGGTGATTGGATCACCGGACAGTTTCTCATGAATGATTTGACACCATCCCCCTCAGAAAGTTCTCGTGATAGTGAGTGAGTGCTCATGAGATCTGTTTCTTTTCAAGTGTGAAGTACCTCCCAGCTTGCTCTCTCTTGCTCCTGCTGCAGCCATGTAAGATGTGCCTGCTTCCCCCTTCACCTATTGCCATGATTGTGGGTTTACTGAGGCCTCTACAGAAGCTGAGAAGACACTTCTCAGCTATATATATATGTGTGTGTGTGTGTATATCTATAGTTTAGCAATGCAAGAATGAACTTATACAGAAAATTGGCACCAGAGAAGTGGGGAATTGTTATAAAGATACCTGAAAATGTGAAAGCAGCTTTGGATCTGGGTAATGGGCAGAGGTTGGAACAGTTTGGAGGACTCAGAAGAAGACAGGAAAATGAGGGGAAGTTTGGAACTTCCTAGAGATTTGTTAAATACTTGTGACCAAAATGCTGATATTGAAAAGGACAATGAGGTCCAGGCTGAGGAGATCTAAGATGGAAATGAGGGATTGGGAACTGGAGCAAAGATGACTTTTGTTATGCATTAGCAAAGAACCTGGCAGCATTGTGTCTCTGCTCTAGGGATCTGTGGAACTTTCAACTTGAGAGTGATAATTTATTTTGTGTAGTAGAAGAAATATCTAAGCAGCAAAGTGTTCAAGATGTGGCCTGGCTGCTTCTACCAGCCCAAGCTCATATGGGCGAGCAAATAAATAATGTGTAACAGGAACTTACATTTAAAGGGAAGCAAAGCATAAAAGTTTGGAAAATTTGCAGCTTGGCCATAGTAGAAAAGAGAAAACCACTTTCTGGGAAGGAATTCAAGCAGGCTGCAGAAATTTGCATAACTAAAAAGAAGGCAAATTCTGATCGCCAAGACAATGAGGAAAGGACCTGGAAGGCATTTCAGAGACCTTTGAGACAGCCCCTCCCATCACGGGCCTGGAGGCCAGGAGAACAGAAGGACAGAGTGGTTTTGTGAGCCAGATCCTGGGCCCCACTTCCCTGTGCAGCCTTTGGACACAGCTCCCTGCACCTCAGCTGCTCAATCTCCAGCCATGGCTCAGAGGGGACCAAGTACAGCTGGGGTCACTGCTTCAGAGGGCACAAGGCATAAGATTTGGTGGCTTTCACATGGTGTTAAACCTGCAGGTGCATGGAGCGTAAGAGGTGAGGCTTGGGAGCCTCCGCCTGGATTGTAAACAATGTATGGAAAAGCCTGGATGCCCATGCAGAAGCCTGCTGCAGGAGCAGAGCCCTCATGGAGAATATGTAAGTCAGTGCATAGGGGCAACATAGGGCTGGAGCGCCCACACAGATTGCCTACTGGGGCACTGCCTAGTGGAGCTCTGAGAAGAGGGCTGCCATCCTCCAGATCACAGAATGATAAAGCCACCAACAGATGGCATCATGCACCTGGAAAAGCCACAGGCACTCAATGCCAGCCCATGAGAGCAGCCACTGTACCTGAATCTTGGAAAGCCACAGGGGCAGAGCTATCCAAGGCCTTGGGAGCCCACCCCTTGCACCAGTGTGCCATGGAAGTAAGACATGGGGTCAAAAGAAATTTATTTTTAACCTTTAAGATTTAATTACTGCCCTGATGGGTTTTAGAATTGCACAAAACATGTAGCCTCCTTCTTTTGGCTGATTTCTCCGTGTTGGAATGGGAGTATTTGATCTGGTGATTTTATATGAGGCTTTGTCTCTTTTGCTCAGCACTTCTCTTTCCTGCCACGATGTGAAGAAGGACATGTTTGCTTCCTCTTCTGCCATAATTCTAAGTTTCCTGAGGCCTTCCCATCCATGTTGAACCATGAGTCAATTAAACATCTTTCCTTTATAAATGACCCAGTCTTGGGCATGTCTTTATTAGCAGCATGAGAATAGACTAATACAGTAAATTGGTACTTGGAGTAGTAGGGCACTGCTGCAAAGATACCCATAAATGTGGAAGCAATTTTGAAACTGGGTAAAAAGATACCCATAAATGTAGAAGCAACTTTGAAACTGGGTAACAGGCAGAGGTTGGAACAGTTTGGAGGGCTCAGAAGAAGACAGGAAAATGTGGGAAAGTTTGGAACTTCCCAGAATCTTGTTGAATGTCTTTGACCAAAATGCTGATAGCAATATGAACAATAAAGTCCAGGCTGAGGTGGTCTCAGATGGAGATGAGTAACTTGTTGAAAACTGGAGCAAAGATGACTCTTGTTATTCTTTAGCAAAGAGACAGCCAGTATTTTGCCCCGGTCCCAGAGACCTGTGGAACTTTGAACTTGAGAGAGATGATTTAGAGTCGCTGGTAGAAAAAAAAAAAAATTCTAAGTGGCAAAGCATTCTAGAGGAAGCAGGGCATAAAAGTTTGGAAAATTTACAGCCTGACAATGCAGAAGAAAAGGAAAACCCATTTTCTGGAGAGAAATTTGAGCCTGCTGCAAAAATTTGCATAAGAAAAGAGGAGCCTAATGTTAGTCACCAAGACAATGGGGAAAATGTCTCCAGGGCATGTCAGAGGACTGCATGGCAACCCCTCCCATCACAGGACCAGAGGCCTATGTGAGAAAAATGGTTTTGTGTGCCGGGCCCAGGGACCCCTGCTATATGTAGCCTTGAGACATGGTGCCCAGCATTCCAGTTGCTTCATCTCTAGCTTTGGCTAAAAGGGGCCAAGGTACAGCTTGGGCAATTGCTTGAGAGGGTGCAAGCCCCAAGCCGTGGTGGCTTCCACATGGTTTTGGGCCTGTAGGAGCACAGAAGTCAAGAATTGAGGTTGGGGAACCTCTGCCTAGATTTCAGAGGATGTATGGAAATACCTAGATGTTCAGGCAGGAGTTTGCTGCAGGAGTGGAGCCCTCATGGAGAACCTCTACTAGAGACATGTGGAAGGAAAATGTGGGGTTGGAGCCCCCACACAGAGTCCCCACTAGGGCACTGCCTAGTGGAGCTGTGAGAAGAAGGCCACCATCCTTCAGACCCCAGAATGATAGATCCACCGAAGGTTGGCACCATGTGCCTGAAAAAGCTGCAGACACTTAATGCCAGCCCGTGAAAGCAGCCGGGAGGGGGACCGTACCCTGCAAAGCCACAGGGGTGGAGCTTCCCAAGGCCATGGGAGTCCACCTTTTGCATCAGCATGACCTGGCTGTGAGACATGGAGTCAAAGGAGATCATTTTTGAGCTTTAAGATTTCATTACTACCTTGTTGGAATTCGGACTTGCATGGGGCCAGTAGCCCCTTTTTGGACAATTTCTCCCATTTGGAATGGGTGTATTTACCCAGTACCCGTACCTCCATTGTATCTGGGAACTAAATAATTTACTTTTGATTTTACAGGTTCATAGGTGGAAGGAACTTGCTTTGTCTCAGATGAGACTTTGGACTTGGGCTTTTGGGTTAATGCTGGAAAGAGTTAATACTTTGGGGGACTGTTGGAAGGGCATGATTGTGTTTTTAAATGTGAGGACATGAGATTTAGGATGAACCAGTGGTGGAATGATATGTTTTGCCTGTGTCCCAACCCAAATTTCATCTTGAATTATAATAATCCCCCTGTGTCAAGGGTGGGAACCGGTGTGCAGTAATTGAATCATAGGGGTGGTTTTTCCCATGCTGTTTTCATGATAGTGAGTGAATACTCATGAGACCTGATGTTTTTATAAGAGGCTTTTTCCCCTTTGCTAGGCAGTCCTCCTACCTGCTACCATGTGAAGAAAGACATGTTTGGTTCCCCTTCCACCATGATTGTATGTTTCCTGAGGCCTCCCCAACCATGTGGAACTGTGAGTCAATTAAACCTTTCATTATAAATTACCCAGTCTCAGGTATGTCTTTATTAGCAGTGTGAGAATGGATTAAAACACGTGTACACAGGCAGAAGGGGCTAGCCTTGTCCCTGAGGAGACTTTGGAATATGGACTTTTGAGTTAATGCTCAAATAAGTTAAGATTTTGGGGAACTGTTGAGAAGGTATGGTTATATTTTTCAATGTGAGATGGTCAAGAGATTCGGGAGGGGATAGGGGTAGTATGATAGGGTTTGGATCTGTGTTTCCTCCCAAACCTCATGTTCAATTGTAATCCCCAGTGCTGGAGGTGGAGCCTGGTGCTAGAGGATTAGATCAGAGGGTGGTTTCTCATGAATAGTTTAATACCATCCCCCTTGGTAAGTTCTCATCATGGTGAGTGAGTTTCATGAGATCTGGTTGTTTAAAAGTGTCCAGCACCTCCCCCCATCTCTCTCTTCCTTTTGCTTTGGCCAGGTGACGTGTTCACTCTCCCTTTGCCTTCCATCATGATTGAAAGCTTCCTGAAGCCTCCTCATGCTTCCTGTATAGCTCGAAGAGCCATTAGCCAATTAAATATTTTTTAAAAAATCAATGACCCAGTCTCTGGTATTTCTTTATAGTAGTGGAAGAATGGACTAACCAGGAGCATAGTAGAGTGGCTAATAGAAAAAATTCTTAAGCCATACTGCCTTGGGTTTGAATCTTGATTAAATTGATTGAATTGGTTGATTTTATCTATCTAGTAAAATTGATGTGTGTAGACTTGTTCCTAGTTGAAATAATATAATTTAATTCTAATATCAAATAATAATTATAAGAAACACCAGAAATTAAAAAAAATAATAGCAAGGGAATTAACCTGTATAAAAATTAAAATGCAGTAAAAAGCAATTTTATTGAAGACTTTGGAATTAGTACAGGCATTAAACTATTGAAAGTTGCAAGCCTGAGATAAGTTGTGTGTACAAGAAATATAAAATTGTTTTGGTTTAAATTGCAGCTCATATTTTTAAAATGTGTAACAATGAGCAAAGTAATTTTCTTTTTTGATTAGGTCTTCATTTGCAAAAGGCAAACAGTAGTATCTGTGTGTGAGGTTTGTTTGTATGCTACTGTACATAAAATAAATTCTGAAATATACTTGCTTAATAAGCAAGGTTTTTTTTTCACTCAAACAACCAAATGTATGGTGATAGGTGAAAAAGTTCTGGTATTATATTTTTGTTCATCAAAATTACTCTTCTATTTTCTTATTCATAACAACCTTACTTAGTGGTTTGGTTTCTTGTTACAGTAAAATGTCCATTGTATTTTCAGTTATTATGTCTACATTATAGAAGAAAGAATAATGGAGAAAAAATCAGAAATAGTTGTACCTGCTTCAGACAAATAAAAATTACTCACAAATTCTTATTTTTCCATCTGAATTATCTTCAGATTGATGAAATAGAAACAGCCTCAGCTTCAAAACATGAAAAATTGGTCTTATTTTATTTGAAGGCAGACTGATATCAATTTAAATGTATGCTATATACCCTAGGACAAGAAATAAATGTTTAAATATATCCACAATGAGTAAATAGAAAACATGAAATGAAATAAAAATGTTCAATTAACCCAAATGAAGGCAGAAAGGAAGAGAAATAAATAAAAGATGGACTACTACCACCTTTGTTCCTGCTTTTGCTGCCCCTATGCTGGGGAGAAAACAAAAAGCCTGAGCTTGACCTAGGAGTATGGTACATAGCATGAGTGTATGAAGCCAAGATCTGTGGCTGTCATTTGAACAGGAGAGGAGCCAACACTCTCAGAGGACTGGAAGTGGTAAGTCACATAAGCTCCTGGGCTGCTATAGGAGCAGCACCTGCCTTCCTCCACAGGGCCAGCTCAGAAAATGTATGACCTGACTCCCTGCCATGGCCTTGGCCTGAAGGAACCTTGTACCCTAAAATATTTAACAAAATAAATAGGAGTACAGTTCCAGTGATTGGAGGGAGCTCCCCCAATGCCCAGAAGTAGACCTGGTGAGGGGGTCACTAGTCTCCATGCTACACCACAGAATATATCTGCATTTGCAAGGAAATACCAAGAAACCACATGGCTGAGTATGAGCCTCTCTACCAGCCATTACTCTTAAGTGTCATCTACTGGATCACAGCCCAAACTACAACAACAAAAATACTTCGATAATATACCATGCTGAGAGATCCAGGGCAAGAATTCAGCCACAGATAAAGACCCTGCACTGAGCCTTGGCCCTCTGAGAATGATAGAGACAGGAGACAGAGAAATTCTAGGCAGAAAATGGTGGGGTCCCTGGTGAAGTCCCACCCTCAAGCTTGGAACCACAGCCCAAACTGAGAACATGCATTCCTGTTTTCCCACTCAGATGTTGCCTTTTCCAAAACCACCCATGGCCCACCCCACCCCCAATCTTGTACCCATAAAAATCCCTGAACCAGCTGGCAGAGAAGAAAAAGCATCTGGATGTTGAGAGGAGAAGCAGATGGATGTCATAGAGAAGGAGCTTGACTTCAGAGAAATGGCTTGACAGCAGGACTTCAGAGAAGAGTCTGGCTGGAGATGGTGGGACTTCAGAGGAAGAATACGTTCCCACTCCATCCCTTTTCCACCTCCCCTTCCCACTGAAAGCCACTTCCACTGGCAATAAAATATCCTACATTTACTATCCTTTGATTTGTTCATGTGACCTGATTTTTTCTGGATGCTGAATAAGAGCTTGAGATACAGAAGGCTGTTCACACTAACCATCTGCCCTCATGAAAAGGCAGAGAATCCACTAAGCTGTTGAGCACTTAAGCCATTTGTGGATGGCAAAGCTAAAAGATCACTGATGGTAACATTCCTTCTGGGGCTTCGGGTGTCACAAGTACTCCCCGCCAAGACACTGCCTTGGGACCCGCAAGGAGTTTTGCTCCTACTAGTGCCCAACAGCTCTTGCTGTGGCTCCTGCACTGGCTCAGCTCCACTTGCCTTCCCATGAGGGGTGGAGCACAGTAGATCTGAGTGAGTGAAGCTGGCCAAAGTGGCCAGCTAGCCCCAGTGCCCACACTCCAGTTCCCCTCACCATGAAGGGGTCAGGGGAAATTTTTCTGTTTTAAAATCATCCAGAAATAAAGCCATCTGACTATACTTGACTTACACCACAGTTAATGAAACACCAACCTTCCCAGAGGAGAAAAAAATTCAGCACAAGAACTCTGCCAATTCAAATGTCAGAGTGTACCCTTACGTGAAAATGAGTCCACTAGCTCCCCAGCAAGGTTTATTAAACAGTCTGAAAAGACCAAAATAGTTGACATAGAATTCAGAATCTGGATAGCAAGGAAGCTCATTGAGATTTGGGAGAAAGTTTAAACCCAAGCCAAGGAATCCATAGAATCCAGTAAAATAATACAAGAGCCATTCTAAGAACCAAGCTGAACATTTAGAGCTGAAAAATTTACTACAAGAATTTTATAATACAATGACAAGTATTTATAGCATAATAGACTAAACTGAGGAAAGAGTCTCAAAGCTCAATTTCTGGTTCCTTGAATCAATTCAGTCAGACAAAAATCAAGAAAAAGGAATTTTAAAAAATTTAAAAACTTCTGAGCAATATTGGATTATGTAAACACAGCAAATCCACAACTCATTGGCATTCCTGAGAAAGCAGAGGGAATAAACAACTTGAAAAATATATTTGAGGATATAGTCCACAAAAATTTCCCCAATCTTGCTAGAGGTTGACATTCAAATCCAAGAAATACAGGGAACCCCAGACAGATACTATAAAAGATTGCCATCCCCAAGGCAAATAGTCATCAGATTCACCAAAGACAATGCAAAAGAAAAATCTTAAAGGTAGCTAAAAAGAAGGGTAAAGCTACATACAGAGGGAACCCCATCAGGCTAGCAACACACATTTGAGCAGAAACCTTATGAGACAGAAGAACTTAGGGTTCCATTTTCAGTGTCTTTTTAAATAAAAAAAAATTCCATGCAAGAATTTTATATCCTACCACACTAAGCTTCATAAGTGAAAAAGAGATAAACTCCTTCTCAGAGAAGCAAGTGCTGAATGAATTCATTTCAACTACATCTACCTTATAAGAGGTTCTTAAGAGAATGCTTAACATGGACTCAAAAGAATGGCATCTGCTGCCACAAAGACACACAAATATATAGCCCACAGGCACTGTAAAGGAATTGCACAATCAAGTTTACATAATAATCAGCTAACAATAACACGATAAGGTCAAAATCCCACATATCCAAAAACACTGAGTGTAAATTGGCAAAATGCCCACATTTAAAAGGCATAGAGTGGCCAGCTGCATAAAAGCACAAGGTCCAAGCATCTTCTGTCTTCAAGAGACCCATTTCATATGTAATGACATCCACAGCCTCAAGGTAAAGGGAGAGAGAAAGACATACCATCAAACAGAAAACAAAAAAGAGCAAGAGTTGCTAGTTTTATATTAGATAAAACAGATATTAAACCAATAAAAATTAAGAAGAACAGGGAAGGGCATTTCATAATGATAAAGAGGGTAATCAAACAAGAAGACAACTATCCTAAATATATATACACCCAACATAGGGGCACCTGAATTCATAAGACAGGTTCGTTATGGCCTATGAAAAGACTTAGGCAACCACCCAATAATAGAGGGAAACTTCAACACCCCACTGACAGCATTAAACAGACCTTTGAGAAAAAAAACTACTAACATAGAAAATGTGGATTTAAACCCAACAGTTGACCAATTGTACCTAATAGGCATCCACAGAACAATCCTTTCTAAAACCGCAGAATATACATTCTTCTCATTTGCACAAGAATATATTGTACGATTTACCACATACTCAATCATAGAGCAAGTCTCAATAAATTAAAAAAAAACTGAATTCATACCAAGCACACACAAGGAGCACAGTGCAATAACAATAGAAATCAATATCAAGAAGATCTCTCACAACTATACAAATACATGGAAATTAAACAACTGGCTTCTCAATAACTACTGGGTGAACATCAAAATTAAAGCAGAAATAAAAAAAATATTTAAAATGAATGAAAATAGAGACATAACATACCAAAATCTCTAGGATGCAGGTAAATCAGTGTTAAGAAAAAAGTATAGCACTACAGCACTACATGCCTTCACTAAGAACTTGGAAAGATCTCAAATTAGCTAACTTTGCACCTAAAGAAACAATAATAAAAGAACAAACCACCCCAAAGTTAACAGAAGAAAAGAAATAACTAAAACTAGAGAATAACTGAATAGAATTGAGATGCAAAAAAATTTATGAAAAGGTCAGTGAAACCAAGAGTTGATTTCCTGAAAAAAAAATACACAAGATTAATACACCACTAACTAGATTTACAAAGAAAAAGACCCAGAATACCCAAATAAGTACATACAAAAATGACAAAGATGGCATTACAACTCATTCCACAGTAATACAAAAGATCCTCAGAGAACAGTATAAACAATGTCATGAACACAAGTTTAAAATCTAGAGAAAATGTATACATTTCTGCAAACAATTTCCTAAGATCGAATCAGGGAGAAAACCCTAAATAGACCAATATTATGCTCTGAAATTGAATCCGTAGTAAGAAAACTAACAACCAAAAAAAGCGCTAGACAGATGAATTCACAGCTTAATTCTCCCAAATGTACAAGGAAAAAGTGGTACCTATCCAACTGAAACTATTCAAAAAGATTGAGGAGTAGAGCTCCTTCCTAACTCCTTCTATGAAGTCAGCATCAGCCTAATACTGAAATGTGACAGAGACACAACAAAGAAAATTTCAGGATAGGGATGCAAGGATGGTTCAACATGCACGAATCAAAAACTGTGATTCACCAGATAAACAGAATTAAAAATATATATAGTCTCAATAGATGCAGAAAAAAGCTTTTGATAAAATCCCAACATTTCTTCATGACAAAAACCCTCAACAAACTAGGCATTGCAGGAACATAACTCAAAATAATAAGAGCCATCTATGACAAACCCATGGACAATATTATACTGAATGGGCAAAAGTGGGAATTATTCCCTTTGAGAACTAGAATAAGACAAGGAAGCCCACTCTCACCACTCATATTCAATGTAGCATTGGAAGTCCTAGCCAGAGCACTCTGGAAAGGAAAAGAAATAAAAGCCATCCAAATAGGAAAATAAGAATCAAACTATATTCAATGATGATGTGATACTATACCTAGAAAACACTACAGACTCTGCCAAAAGGCTACTAGAATAGATAAATGATTCTAGTAATGTTTCAGAATACAAAGTCAATGTCAAATGATTAGTATCATTTTTATATGCCAATAGTTTCCAGGGTGAGAGTCAAATCAATAATACAATTCTATTTATAACAGCCATAAAGAAAATAAAATACTTAGGAATACTCCTAACTAAGGAGGTAAAAGACCTCCAGAAGAACAACTACAAAATATTGCTGAAAGAAGTCAGAGTTGACAAAATAAATGGAAAAACATATCATGCTCATAGATAGGAAGACTAAGTACCATTAAAATGGTCATACTGCCCAAAGAATTTTCAGATTCAAAGTTATTCCTATCAAACTATGAAAGTTGTTATTCACAGAATTAGAAAGAAAACTATTGTAAATTTATATGGAACCAAAAAAGACTCTGAATCACAAAAGCAATCCCAAGCAAAAAGAATAAAGCCAGAGGCATCACACTACCCAACTTCAAACTATACCATAAGGCTATAGTAACCAAAGAGCATCATACTGGTACAAAGACAGACACATAGACCAATGAAACAGAATAGAAAACATGGAAATTATACCACACACCTACCATTGTCTGATGTTCAACAAAGCCAACAATAACAAGAAATGGGGAAACATTACCTCATTCCATAAATAGTGCTGGGATAACTGGCTAGCCATATGCAGAAGAATAAAACTGGACCCTGACTGCATTAGTCCATTTTCATACTGCTATCAAGAAATACTCAAGACTGGGAGATTTATAAAGAAAAAGAGGTTTAATGGTCTCACAGTTTCACATGGCTGGGGAGGCTTCACAGTCATGGCAGAAGGTGAAGGAGAAGCAAAAGCATGTCTTACATGGTGGCAGACAAGAGAGTATGTGCAGGGGCACTTCCCTCTATAAAACCATCAGATCTTGTGGGACTTATTCACTATCATGAGAAGGGCATAGGAAAAACCCGCTCCTGTGATTCAGTTACCTCCCACTGGGCCCCTCCCATGACATGTGAGGATTATAGGAGCTACAATTCAAGAAGAGATTTGGGTGGTGACATAGCCAAGCCATATCACTTACATTTTATCATTGATATAGTTTTGCTGTGTCCCCACCCACATTTCACCTTGAATTGTAATAATCCCCATATGTCAAGGGCAGGGCCAGGTGGAGGTAATTGAATCATGTGGTTGGTTTCCCTTACACTGTTTTTATGGTAGTGAATAAGTCATAAGATCTGATGGTTTTATAAATGGGAGTTTTTCTGCACAGCTTTCTTGCCTGCCACCAGGTAAGACGTGACTTTGCACCTCATTCGCTTTCCACCATGATTGTGAGGCATCCCCAGCCATGTGGAATTGTGAGTCAATTAAACCTCTTTCCTTTATAAATTACACTGTCTCAGTTATGTCTTTATTAGGACCATGAAAACAGACTTATACAATCATGTACAAAAACTAACTCAAGCTGCATTAAAGATTTAAAAGTAAGACTTCAAACTGCAAAAATCCTAGAAAGAAACCTAGTCATTGGCTTTGACAAAGAATTTTTGGCAAAGCCTTCAAAAGAATTTGCAACAAAAACAAAAATAGACAAGTGGCACCTAACTAAGCTAAAGAGCTTCTGCACAGAAAAAGAAACTATCAATAAAGTGAACAGTTTACAGAATGAGAGAAAATATTTGCAAACTATGCATCTGAGAAAGGTCTAATATCCAGAAACTATGAGAAACTTAAACAAATGAATAAGCAAAAAACAAATAACCCCATTAAAAATGACAGGAACAGACAATTTTCAAAAGAAAACATACAAGTGACAAACAAACATATAAAAAATACTCATGATCACTAATCATCAGAGAAATGGAAATTAAAGCAACAATGAGATACCACCACCACAAACCAATTAGGATGACTATTATTAAAAATTCAAAAATAGTGAATGCTGGTGAGGCTGCATAGAAAATGGAATGTTTATACACTGCCGGTGGGAGTGCAAATTAGTTCAGCCATGGTGGAAAGCAGTTTGGAGATTTTTCTATAGATTAAATTACATTTTCTATACCCTTATGTTGATGGAATCATACAGTATGTACTTTTTTTTGTCTTACTTCTTTCATTCTGTGTAATTATTTTGAGTTTCATTAATGTTGTTGAGTGTTTCATTCACTTTTGTGGCTGTTTATTTACCTGTTGATAGAAATTGTAGTTGTTTTTCAGGTATTACATATAAAGCTACTATGAATATTTTTGTACAAGTCCTTTTGTGGATATACACTTTTATTTCTCTTTAATAAATACCTGCATGTGGAATGGCTGGGTGAAATCATAAGTGTATGTTTAACTTTTTACCAAACTGAAAAATTATTTTTCAAAGCGATTCTATGGTTTTGCATTTCCCTCAGCAATGTATAAGAGTTCTAGTTGCTCCTTGCAAACACTTGGTATGCCAGTCTTTTTAATGTTAGCCATTCTAATGTATGTAGCAGTATCTCATTGTGGTTTTGATTTGCATTTTCATAATGGCTAAAAATTTTGAGCCTTTTTTTCATGTGCTTGCATTTGGAGACATTATATGTTTTTTTAGCTTTTTAAAATTTTTTGTTTTAATTTTTGTGGGTACACAGTAGGTATATTTATGGGTTACATGAGATGTTTTGATACAGGCATGCAATGTGTAATAATTATACCATGAAAATGGGGTATCCATCTCCTCAAATATTTATTATTTGTGTTACAAACAATCCAATTATACTATTCTAGTTACTTTAAAATGTACAATTAAATTATTATTGACTATAGTCAATTGTTGTGCTATCAAATAGTAGGTCTTTTCATTCTTTCTAACTATTTTTTCGTCCCCGTGTTACAGTAGGTAGCTAGTCAGGTATGAGCAGAGCAGGAGAGGGTTCTCCAAACACACACACACCAGGAGGATTGGGCGACCATCAGGTGATGGTCAGTCAGTTGTTAACTGTTTCTCTAAAGTAATAATTGGTTACAGCCAGTGTCAGGGAAAGGCAATCTCCTAATAGATTAAAAAAAAAACCACACACACACACACACACACACACACACACACACACACACACACACACCTGAAACTGAGGAGCAGTGTCCCAATAAGATCTTAGGAGTGTGGAGAAGTAATGCAAGATCCCGGAAGTATGCCAATGTACCCTTCTTCTCTCTCCTTTCCTTCCTTTTCTTACTGTTCTAAAGCATTTTAATAAACTTTCACTCCTACTCTGCAACTTGCCTCGGCCCCTTCGCCTGTCTTATGCCCCTCGGTCAAATTATTTCTTCTGAGGAGACAAGGACCGAAGTTGCTGCGGACAGATACGGATATGCCACAGGTAACTCGGATCTTTTCCACCGCTAACACCCATTAACCATTCCCAACCTCGTGCCACCCTCCCACTATCCTTCTCACCCTCTGGTTACAGCCTTCTCCTCTCTATCTCCATGAGTTCAATTGTTTTCTGTGTCAAAAATTTTCCTCCTGTGCATGTCTTCTCTTTTTATAATGTAGCAGTGTTTTCTAAGGAGCAGAAATTAAATTTAATGAATCCCAATTTGTGGAGTTTAACTTTTATGGATTTTTTTTATGATGTGCTTTTGATTTAGAAATAATCTTTCCTTAAATCAAGGTCACATAGACTTTCTCCTAAAAGTGTTAAATTTTGGGGTTTTACATTTATGTCTGTGAACCATTTTAAGTAATTTTTTATATGGAGTTGTATTTCAATTTTTGCCTGTAGATAGAGAGTTATATTGGCACAATTTGCTGAAAAGAATAATTTTATTCATTGTATTGTCTTGTAACATTTGTAAAAAATCAGTTAACCAAATGTGTAGGTTTTTTTCTGGGCTTCCTATTCTGTTTCATTGATCTGTGTGTCTATCTTTATACCAGTACCACACTGTATCTTTATAATGAGTTTTGAAATCAGGTGGCATAAGTATTCCAGCTTTGTTTTACTATGGCAATATTGTTTTGGTTATTCTAGGTCCTTTTAATTTCCATATGCACTGTAGAATCAGCTTGTCAATTTCTGCCCCCCAAAACCACACACAACGAATTTCCCAAAACAAGCCTGTTATTTCTGGGTCGGTTTTAATCGTATTTTTCTCCTCACTATGGATGGCAATTTTTGACTGGATGGCGAATAATGTGAATTTTATGATGATTGTGCATGCATGTATGCATATGCGTGTGTGTGTGTGTGTGTGTGTGTGTGTTTTATTTGGGCTTATTTTTTTCTGGCACACAAATAAGCTACTTGGAAACACATGATTCTTTCTGTGCCAGCATTTAAGCTTTGTTACACAGGACCAGAGCAGCCTTTGATCTGAAGCTATGTCTTTCCCAATACTAGAGCAATATCCTTCTGACTAATCTTGGCAGCACCCTGTGTATTGTCAAGTTTTCTTCCATGGCTGTTGGGAACATGAAGTCTTTTCAATTCTGTCAGTCCTGGAGATTGTTCTCTCTGCTCATGGTAGGAGACTCTTTCCCTAACTTCGTGTAGTTTCCTCACGTGCATCTGTTGATCTCAGCTGACAACCTGAAGAGGACTCTCTGAGGACTGTGGAGAGCTTGCTGTGAAACTCCTCTCTTTCACTCTGCCCTATGAACTGTAACACCCTTGGCCTCCTTGAACTCCCAGCTCTGTCTTCTAAACTCAGTTATCCAGAGGGTATAGGTCATATGCCTTTGCAGCATACAGATGGCATTAAGTCTGCAAGCACACAGAATGCTTGAGTTGTTGGGGAATAGTTTCCTCCACCTAGATTTCAAAGGATGCCATGAACAACCTGAGGGCAGAGGCTTGTCGCAGAGGGAGAGCCACTGCGGAGAGCCTCTACTAGAGTAATGCTGAGTGAAAAGGTGGGGTCACAGTGACCACACAGGGTCCTCTCTAGAGCAATGCCTAGCGAAGTTATGGAAGTTGGGACCTCCACCAAGACCACAGAACTGTAGGACAACTGGCATGCAGCTCCAACCCAAGAGAGCTGAAGCATGAACTGAGAGCCCAGAAAAGCCATAGGGGTGGTGCTGCACAAGGATTTGGGGCCCCGATTCCACCCCTACCCCAGTGTATCCAGGAAGCAGGACGTAGAGTCAAGGTTTTTCTGGAGATCTAAAATTTAATGTTGTTTTCCCTGTTGGGTTTTGGACTGACTTGTTACCACTTATCCCTCTTTTTTTGCCTATTTTCCCCTTTCAGAATAGGAATGTCTATTCCTTGCCTGTCCCACCATTGTCCTTTGGAAGCAGATAGCTTGCTTTCATTTCACAGGCTCACAGCTGGAGGAATTTTCCTCAGGATGAGTCAGGCCTTGAGTCTCACCCATGTCTGATTTAGACAAAGATCTAGACTTTGGGCTTTTGGATCCGTGCTAGAATAAGTTAAGACTTTGGAGTCTGTTGAGATGGAATGAATGTATTTTGTATGTGAGAAGGACTTGCGTTTTGGAGGGCCAGGAGCAGAATTCTGTGGTTTGAATGTCTCCTCCAAGGCCCCTCCAAAGATCCACTTCAGATTTAATGTTGAAATTCAATTACCATTGTAATAGTGTTGAAAAGTATAACCTTTGAGAAGTGATTAGATCACGGGGGCACTGCCCTTGTAAACAGATTAATGCCATTATTGTGAGAACAGGTTAGTTATCATGCGAGTGGACTCCTGATAAAAGAATAACTTCATCCCTGTTTCTCTCCCCACTTCATGTGTTCCCTTGCCTTTTTGCCATGTTATAATGCAGCAAGAGGGTCTTCACCAGATAGACTTCCAAGTCTCCGGAACGATGAGTCAAATCAACATCTGTTCTTTAGAAATTATCCAGTCTATAATATTGCATTATAGAAGCAGAAAACAGACTAAGACACTCAGTAAGATTGTGAAGTTCCACATGTGTTTCCTTTGCCTATGAAGTGAACTGGAAACTCTCCTCAGTAAGTCAGCTGGAGTGATCTCAGGTCTCACCTCATTTATTTACCTTCATTCAAAGATCATACTCTTGATCATCTTTATGATCATTGCCACCATTTTGGTTGTTTTGCAATGTCCAGTAACAGGGCTTTTTTGCATATTTTCTCTAGGTATTTAGATGTTTCAGATGGGAAGGTATATTCATGCCTTATTACTCCACCTTGACTGGAAGAGAAACTCTGTGTCTAAGTCTTGATCTCACCATTTCTTCATCGTGTATCCCTGGGCTAGTTCTTTAATCTTGCAAAGCCTCATCTTCCTCATCAGTGAAATGTAGGTAAAATTGTTCTTTTTTTTTCTTTTTTTTTTCTTTTTTGAGATGGAGTTTTGCTCTTGTTGCCCGGGCTGGAGTGCAATGGCATGATCTCAGCTCACTGAAACCTCCACCTCCCAGGTTCAAGTGATTCTGCTGCCTCAGGCTCCTGAGTAGCTGGGATTATGGGCAGCTGCCACCAAGCCCGGCTAATTCCTGTATTTTTAATAGAGACCGGGTTTCACCTTGTTGACCAGGCTGGTCTCAAACTCCTCACTTCAGGTGATCCACCAGCCTCAGCCTCCCAAAGTGTTGGGATTACAGGCATGAGCCACCGTGCCCAGCCGGTAAAATTGTTCTTAATTTATGAGGTTGTTTTAATAATTAAGTGCTATATTATTTGTAAATCAATACAAACAAAAAAGAATAAATAATGAAATCAGCTATTCTAAGTGATTTGTAGCTCACAAATTATTCTGGAACATAGCATAAGAACATAGACAATGAATTAAATAAATGAATAAAATGATTAAGTATTAATAATAAGTAATATATTATTAAATCAGTATCCTTGGAACATTCACCTTGGTGCTAGTTTAGGAACTGACTATATAGTAATGCAGAAAACACATGCAATCAATATTTTTGTGATGATAAGGTTGTAATTGGGAGGAATTACAAGAATAAATATGTGATTACACATTGTGAGTGCTGAGAAGGAAAGGGTTGGCTGCTGATATAGACAATAGTTGTGTGGTTCTAATTTATTTTTATTGCCAATCTGAGGAAGTTACATTTAAAATAATATGAAAGGAATGGGATTTATTAAGGCAAAAAGTATAGGGAAGGATATGAAAAGTAGCAGTTTCAGAAAAGAATGAATTAACTATAATAATGAATGTTTAGAAATATTTGATCATATTTTACCTTCATCCCCTTCTTAGCTAATGCTATATATACTTACTATACAGAAGGGCCCATGCATTTAATCCTCTTAAAAAGTTTGTATGGTAGATACTACTATTGTCTCTCGTAAAATTAGACAATGGATGCCGGGTGCGGTGGCTCACGCCTGTAATCCCAGCATTTTGGGAGGCCAAGGTGGGTGGATCACTGAGATCGGGAGTTTGAGACCAGCCTGAGTAACATGGTGAAACCCCGTCTCTACTAAAAATACAAAAATTAGGCGAGCCTGGTGGCGTGTGCCTGTAATCCCAGCTACTTGGGAGGCTGAGGTAGGAGAATCACTTGAACCTGGGAGGCAGAGGTTGCAGTGAGCTGAGATTGTGCCACTGCACGCCAGCCTGGGCGACAGAGCAAGACTCCATCTCAAAAAAAACAAAAAGCAAACAAACAAATAAAAAAAAATTAGACAATGGAGAACTAGAGAAGTTCTATTTGATGATGTGTAAGATGCTACCCACCCCCCAAAAAAGAAATCCCCCAATGATTCAATGCCTTAATTTGGGAGTATTATAGGAGAAATGCCAGACACCCAGAGCTACTGTCATATTCTGCATTGTCCCTATCTTGGATGGACACTTGCAGGCAAACATTGCCTGTATTGCAATGTGGAAGTTTCAGAAGAAAAATTCAATGTCATGTAAACAATCCCAGGTAGGGTAGTTACCATAGTGGGTATAGGCTTTGATTTGCCCCATGATTCTATGCATTACCAAAGATATTTGCCTGCTATAAAAATCTCTGTTTCTAACAGAACTGCCCAAAATGAAATATATAGCATTTCTTTCTTTGTCTGCATGGCTGTTGAATTGCCTTAGTAATACACTTTGTGGTATAAAATATGATTTATAGCTGTTGGAAAAATGATGACTCAAGTTCAAATACATTGAGCAGCAATAATGACAGAATTTATCTGGATGCTAGCAATGATCATGGGTTTTTAGACTTTGAGGTTAATGATAATTTATTTATTTTTAACAATTAAGATTTTCTTTAGGTTTTAAAAATAAAAGTGAAATAATTTTGTTACATTTCAAACATGTTGCTTATTATGTAAATATATTTACTACTGTACTTAGTTTTATTATATTTTACTTATTTATGATATTAGTTGGTGTGATTCTGTGAGTAGATATTCACTGAACCATTTTGTTTTAC
This sequence comes from Homo sapiens, assembly GCF_000001405.40. Taxonomy (NCBI): domain Eukaryota; kingdom Metazoa; phylum Chordata; class Mammalia; order Primates; family Hominidae; genus Homo; species Homo sapiens. Next base: position 145,293,931 of record NC_000023.11, on the reverse strand, counting down.
TGCATGCATGAATTTGACATTGGGATATCTTAATGTATTATTTACTGTATTCTAAAGTATTTGCTTATGCATACTGTAAATAAATTCATCTAAATTTATCTTATATTGATCTTGCTTTATGGCTTAGAGTCAATGTAAAGTATGTTTACATTATGGGCTCTAGGGTCAGATTAGATGCATTTGAACCTTGATTCCACCACTAACTGGCTATGTGATATCAGGCAAGTTCATCTCACAAGGCCTCATTTTCCTCTCCTGCAAACCAAGACCTAACTAGTACCTACTCTGATCATTTAGAAAATTAATAATATTAGATACATAAAGCACTTTAGTATAACATCCAGAATATAGGAAACATTTAATAAATATTTTATTTTCCTGTCACGATGACAAAGAAGAGCATTGTAGTTAAAAAGATAGACCCTGGAGTGAGCCTGAGTAGGTTTGAATCCTGGCTTCGGGATACTAACTTGCTGCATAAACTTGAACAAGTTTATTCTCCCAAGCTGTCTTTCCCTTCTCTATAAAATGGGAATAATAATGGTACTGCCTCATAAGGTTGCTGTGAGAATAAGTGATATAATTTATGTAAAGCACTTAGCATGTTATCTATGTATATCAACAAACTTTAGATATCATCATAATTATATCCGTGAATGCTTTACTAGTATAGCACATATAAATTGAGAGTATTTTCTGCTAACATTTTTTTGGTGGCTGTGTGCCAGTATTCACTTATATCAATATATTTCTTTTTGAGATATATGTTTTTATAATTTTTGGTTTGGTGGAAAAATTCTATACATTGATCAAATGTAATTTCCTACAGAATTCCTGTATAATATTTTTGTATTATATTAAATAATTCATTATTTCAAATTATTCTTTTGTAAACAAACTTTAAAACTTACAACAAAGCATTCTAAAATTTTGCTTTCTTTTCCTCAAGTTCTCCTTGAATAATTTGGATGCATCTTACTTACTTACAGCAAATAAGTGATTTTTGTAACCTTATACACATAGTAAATGGAGAATCCAGTTATAAACACAGTCAATCTGACATAAGTAGCTATACTCATTATATTTATAATTTATGAGCTTTTTATAGGAAGTAAAAATCAAGCTGTGCCTTAAAAGTATAGCACGGCTTGACAGAAGTCACTGAGAAAGGAGAGTAAAGCTTGAGCAAGGTCACTGATACAGTTTGGATTTGCATCCCTGCCTAAAACTCATGTCGAATTGTAAATCCCAACGTCGGAGGTGGGGCCTTGTCGAAGGTGATTGGATCATGGTGGTGTATTTCCCCCTTTGGTGCTGTTATCTAATAGAGTTCTCAGGAGATCCGGTTGTTTAAAAGTGTGTGGCTTATACACCCCCTCTCTCCTCCTCCTGTTCTGGCCATGATTGAAAGTTTCCTGCTTCCCCTTCCCCCTCTGCCATGATTAAAAGTTTCCTAAGACCTTTTCAGAAGCTGCCATGCTTCCTGTAGAACATGCAGAATCATGAGTCAATTAAGCCTCTTTTCTTTATAAATTACCCACTCTGAGTCATTTCTGTGTAGCAGTGCAAGAACGAACTGCTAGAATCACAGACGTGAGAGTGTTAATGCTGATTCACAAGGAAAACCTACTCGTTTAGATAGAAGCATATTGCATTGGAAGATGTAAAATGAGCTAAACCTAAAAAGGTAGGCTTGGGCAAAATAGGAAAAAATCCTTGAATGCAAGATTGAAGAGTTTTTCTTGAAGTTTTTCAAAAAGAGGAATGTTATCATCTACCTGTTGTTAAAGAAAGGGTCTCTGATGTTGTACAATAGATAGATTAATGAGGAGGGAGTAGGTTTCTGAAGACAGAGAGGTCATTTTGGAGATTTTACCAAGAGTTTAGGTCGCAGTTATTAATATCAGGAAATAGGGCATTGCATGGCATAGAAAATGGAAATGAGGCAATAGATGCAATCAATTCTACAGAAAAGGAAGAGATAAAAATATGGTATAAAACAGAAGGGGAAAAAGATGTAAAAGAAAATAAATTTAAAGGTTAATTTTAGGCAAAGAACTTTGTACATTTAAGTGAACACAATGATCTTATTTTTACTTAATGTTCTTTTTTTAACTTTTAAGTTTAGGGGTCCATGTGCAGGTTTGTTATGTAGGTGAAATTGTGTCATGGGGGTTTGTTGTACAGATTATTTCATCACTCAGGTATTAAACCTAGTACCAATTATTTTTTCTGATGCTCTCCCTTCTCCTACCTTCCACCCTCTGATAAGCCCCAGTGTGTGTAAAATGGTCTTGGACTTTTTTTCTGTTAATTGACTTTTTTTTTTTGGCTTCTGTAAATTTTTTTTTGAAGTCCATATGTGCCAAATTTTTTTTGATTGTTCTGAATTAGTTTTCTTATGAAAAGATTAATATAATGGTGAAAGAGAATAATCTTAGAGATCTCAAAATATCCTCCTCCCAAACACTTCCCCACAAAAGTAGAGAGTAATAAAATGAATGTAAACTACAGACTGGAAATGTTGTTTCTAACTTTTTTAAAGAAAACAAAAATATGGAGATATGTGGTGACAATCATTATATACAATATAGTACTAGGATTTGGTATTTGAACATGTTAAGTGCTCTTCAAATATCTGTTTATTTAAAATCATTTCTATTATATGTAATGGCTTTGAAATCAGTATTTATTTCAATAACAAGTTTTCAGTTCTATTAACTGAAATCCATAAAAGCATTCCAAACATAATTTATTATTATAGTTCAAGGAATTTCTAAACCAAATTATTGTTATATTGTGAATGTAACTAAAATAAAATTCTTGAACTATATAATTCATATAAAGCTATACAATTTAGTCTACCTTATAGGGATGTAGAAATGGCCATGGCATCTTTCAAGCATAAGTGACTAAAATTAATGAGAGGGAATGCTTGTTTCTTTGTTCACTAAAAGGAGTTACTTGAATAAGAAAATATGGATATTTTAAGATATGACAAATCATATGTTTAGTTTGCAAAATGTGATAGTCTGTTGTTATGTGATGCCCCAAATAACAGATACAAAATCATTATTAGAAGCTACAGTTAAAAACAAACAAATTCATAAACTAGAAGTATAGAAAAGACAAAGCTGGGAATAGATGTCAGCAAGAGCTCTCCAGCTCTCATTCCCCATCAATTTGAACAACTATCTATTTGTAAAAATACCTTCACAAGAGCTAAGAAAACCAGATAAGAGAATACAGAACCTGGATGTAACATGAAAATAAGAAAACATAAATTGAGAATGTAAAAATTACAATTTTACTTTGCTCATATCACCCCTCCAACAAACCAAGGCAACATAACATGAAGAGTTACTGTTAAATAGGGGAAGCAAAGGGAAGTGAGCACTAGGTTATGCTTCAGACCCCAATAATGGGCTTGCTCCTGTAAAACTCAGCACTGAGGAGGAGCTCACAGGCCCAGAATCTAGGTTGGCTCCTGAAGACTGAGCCTTCAGTCCCATCCCATTGTTAGACCAGATCCTGCAGTCACAGGCCTAACCCTAACCCCCAGAATTGTACTAACCCCAATAGCCACAGGATTCAGGCCTATTTCAGCACCAGGCCCTCTTCTGCAGCGCTGGTACCATGAATCTAGCCTGCAGACCAGCCCTAAGGAAACAGGCTCCAGGTCTACCCGGCACCAGGATTGACTCCAGCAGCCTAATTATGTGGACCAACCCTTGCACAAGGCAGGCCCCAACAGCCTTGGATTTGGGGCCCATCCCAGTATCAGGCTGCTTCCCCCAAATTCAGGCTTCAGGCACGCCCTAGGATGAGACCAGCCTCAGTGACCCCCAGGTCCCGGACTACCCCAGTACTGGGTTGGCCACCATGGCCCCAGGCTTCAGGCCTGCCCCAGCACGTAGCCAGCTCCTGCAGCCCTGGTAATCAGGCTGGCACATGCAGACTCAGCCTCCAGGATGGCCCCTGCAAATTCAGGATCCAGACTCATCCATCTCCAAGCCAGCCTTTGCAGCTCCAGCACCAGGTAGGCAAATCTGGCTTCAAATACCAGGAGTGTACTCATGGACACAGGTTCCAGGCCTGCTCAGTGCCAGGCGTATCCCTGCAACCACACTCTCCAGCTGACCCAGGGCCCAAGACTGTCCCAGTAGACCTTTGGTGCCAAACTGAATCCTATTGACTAAGGATTCAAGTCACTCCTCTGGACTCAGGCACCAGGCTAGCCTTGATGTATACAAACTGTCAAATAAAGAATATAAAATTATTATTTTAAGCAAGATCAGTGGAATTCAAAAAATACAGAAAAACAATTGAATGAAATTAGAAAAACAGTACATGATGAAAATGAGAAATTTAAAAGGGTAATTGAAATTACTTAGCAAATCAAACAAAAATTCTGGAGCTAAAATATATAATGAAGTGGAAAAAGCAATGGAGAGCCTCAAAAGCATAATTGATCAAGAATAAAGAATCTGTAAGCTCAAAGACATTATTTGAAAATCTACAGTCAGAGGAAAAAGAATGAAAAGAAATAAAGAAACTTATGGAATTTATGAAACAGCAGAATAAGAAAAATTGTTTGAATTATAGAAGTTTGTGAAGAAGAGACAGATAAAAGGATAGAATCCTTATTTTAAAAAATAATAGCATAACACATTTCAAATTTGGAGAAAGATATAAATATCCACATACAGAAAGGTGAAAAGTCTCCAATCAGATTCAATCCAAACAAGACTACACCAAGATGTATTCTAACCAAGCTGTCAAAAACCAAAGACAGAGAGGATCCTGACTGCAGCAAGAGGAACTAATGAAATAACCTATAAGGGAGTTTTAATGAGGTTGAAAGTGAATTTCTCAGCAGAGACCTTAAAGGCCAAGAGAGAAAGGAATGATATACTCATAGTGCTGAAGAAAGCAAACTTGCCAAACAAAAACACTGTGCCCAACAAAGGTGTCCTTCAGAAATGAAGGAGAAATAAAGACTTTTCCAGACAAATAAAAGCTGAGGGAGTTTATCACCACCAGACATCTCTTAGAAGAAATACTAAAGGGAGTTCTTCAAGCTCAAAGAAAAATATGCTAATTAGTAACACAAAACATGTGAAAGTATAAAACTCAACTTGTCAAAGTAATTACACAGTCAAATTCAGAAACTTTAACACTGTGATGGTTAGGTAAATCACGTACATCTTTAGTATAAAGGTTAAATACAAAACTATTAAAATAATAATAGCTACAACAATTTGTTAAAGAATACACAGTATAAGATGTAAGTTGTGACATTACAATTTTAAAATGTGGGGGAATGGTAGAATAAAAGTGTAGAGGTGTTTCTGTGATCTAAATTAAGTTGCTAGCTGGGCATAGTGGCATGTACCTGTAGATTTAGCTACTCAGGAAGGGGAGGCTGAGGCAGGAAGCTGCAGAGAGCTATCATCACAGCAGCCAGCATGACTGAGTGATACCCTATCTCTTAAAAAAAAGAACCCAAAAAAACCATTAAAAATGATAGTGGTATGTCCTTATTAATAATTATGTTGAATGGAAATGTATCAAGTTCACTGATCAAAATATCTAGAGTGGTTGAATAGTTAAAACACAAGACTCAAATATGTGCTGTCTACAAGAGTCTCACTTCACCTGTAAGGACACACATAAACTAAAAGTAAAGGGATGAAACAATACTTTCCGTTCCAATGGAAACCAAAAGAGAACATATGAAGCTATATTTATCTTAGATAAAATATCCTTTAAGTCAAACACTTTAAGACAGGACAAAGAAGGTCATTATATATTGGTAAAGCAATAAATTTATCGACACAATATAACATTATAAATATATATGCACTTAACATTAGACACCTGCATATATAAAGCCTATGTTAATAAATCTGAAGGGAGAGGTAGACTGTAATACAATAATATTAGAGAGCTTCAATACCTTACTTTCTGCAATGGCCAGATCATCCAGAAAGAAAATCAATAAGGTAACATGACACTTAACCTACATTTTAGACCAAATGGAACTCACAGATATATGAACATCCCATCCAACAGCAATGAAATACATATTTGTCTTAAATGTGCACAGGACATTTTCCAGGATAGATTCAATGTTGGGCCACAAAACAAGATTTAAATTATATTGAGTATATTTTCTGACCACAATATTATGAAACTAAAAATAACAGGAGAAATTTTAGAAATTTCAAAAATAAATGGAAATTTAAATATGCTTCTGAACAATAAAGAAATTAAAAGAGAAATTAAAAAGTCTGAGATAAGTGAAAATTGACAAACAAAATAAAACATTGTATGCACCTAAAGCTGTTCTAAGAGGGATGTTAACAGCAATAAATGCCTACACATAGCAAAAAGAAAGATCTCAAACAACTTAACTTTGCACATCATGAAACTAGAAAAGAAACAAATCCCAAAATTAGCAGAAGAAAGGAAATCGTAAAGATTAGAGCAAAAATAAATTGAATAGAGACTAGAAAAACAGTATGAAAGATTAACGAAACTAAGTTTATTTTTTTAAAGATAAACAACATCAACTCTAAAGATGCCACCAAAAAAAAAAAAATCCTGTTAGACTAATAAACAAGTAAAACTGCAGGATTTAAAATCAATATACAACAATCACAATCATTCCCTTACTCCCTTTAAGTGCTCTCTTCAGTTGGCTTCAAAACACCTCCTTCCTTACTCTTTTCATTTACTGTGATATCCTCATTCTTTTTTTTTTTATTTTTATTTTTTTACTGCTTCTTCCTGCTCTCCCTGATCTCTAAACTTTGAAATGCTCCAGGGCTCAGTCCCTGGATCTATACTCTTTCCTAATTATACTCACTCCATAAGTAATTACAACCAGTTTCATGACTTTTAATACCACCTATCCCCAGCCAAGATATGACTTTTGAACTCTCAACTCATATATCCAATGGCCTACATAATATCCCTACTTGAATGTCTATTAATATGTAAATATGATCTTTCCTTCTCCCATAAATATACTCCTTCATCAGTCACTCTCAACTTACTCAATGACAACTCTATACATAGTGTTCAAGGAAAACTTGTTTATATTATTTATTCCCTTCTTTCTCTCTTTCCCTGACTCTCCCATGTCAGTTAAGTGCAAGCTATTCTGATTGATTCATTCAATTCATGGAATGATTATAATGATATTTATGTTATGCTAATGAGAGTTATATGCAATTAATATTGATGAGTAAGGTTTATATAGAAGACAAATTTTCTCTAATGTTAATTTTATTTTTATTTATTTATTTATTTATTTAGAGACAGGATTTTACTCTCGTTGCCCAGACTGCAGTGCAATGGCATAATCTGAGCTCACTGCAACCTCTGGCTCCTGGGCTTAAGCGATTCTCCTGCCTTAGCCACCCAAGTAGCTGGCACATATCACCATGTCCAGCTAATTTTTGTATTATTTGTAAAGGCAGGGTTTCAGCCTATTGCCCAGGCTGGTCTTGAACTCCTGAACTCAAGCAATCTTCCCACCTCGGCCTCCCAAAGTGCTATGATTACAGATGTGAGTCACTATACCCGGCCTCTAATGTTAATTTTATTGAAGTTTAGGGGAAGAATAACACTATTTAAGTAGAAAACAGCTGCCAGTATATCATTTTACTACATATATTAAGACCACCTTGAGCAAAAGTAGGTTTGCCACATCTTGATTCTTCTCTTCTTACTATTCATTACCATCCAAAATAATTTTAAATATATTTAGTTACTGATTAATCTATTTTCTGATTCCCTTCCCCAAGAGAATGTGATCTCCCTGAGGCCAGTGCACATCATCTTTTTTCTTTTTAAGCTCCACACCTAAACAATGCCTAGAACTTTAAGAAACTCAGTAACTATCTGTTGGAAGATTGTGTGAATGGATGCATGGGTACAGAAAGCAACTAGTAATTCTGAAATTCAGAGAAAGCAGGAGAAAAGTTGAGGACTCTGATAAAAATGAACTTAATGCAGCTCGTTAAAGGCAATTAACACAATGAAAATAAGTTAAATATTAATATAAAGTCAGCACTTTTTTTCCCCCTTGGACATGGGACTTCTCCAGAACCCTATCCCATAGGGGACATACATCATGGATCAAGGGAGCATTTGTCAGTGTGATATGTCTTTTCTAAAAAACCTTATATTTCTGAAACTTTCTTTCCGTTCATGCCTAGGGCAGGATTATTTCCACAAAACAGTAAATTATAGTATTATCTCAATATTTAAAAGTAACATTTCAGAAGACTATTTCAAATGTCAAATTTTTAATAACTGATATTGCAACTTTTCTTAGCCAAGCCCTATAGTTTCTGAAAATTATTAATATTTTCTAATGAATCATCCTTTTATTTTAAAAAGTCCTGGCGTTCAGTTATTTTACTCAGGGTTGCCTTTCACATATACAAATATACAAATACAACTCTAGACAATGGTAACAGAAAACATGTTTCTTTATAAATGAGCTTATATTTCAAGGTATACTGAGAAATTATGCAGTTGTTATTTGAGATTTATTGTGTGGTAGAAAAATACAATGAATAATGTCTGGTAGTAAAATAAGAGCAAAAAAGACAAAACACTCCAGATTCTAAAGTGCATTAAGGAAATTATTTAAAAAACTGAGTCCTGAGAAATGTTACATTGATTGGAGGGGGCTTTCTGGAAGAGATATTTAACTCTATATAAAAAGAGGATTTTCTATAGTATACATCAGAATAATTATGCTATTAAATGCTATTTCCATTTTCTCCAGTATTGACCCACTTACGCCTGCCATATATTTATTTCTACTTTAACCATTGGTGAAAAGTTTTAATAAGACCTCAGTGAAGGAGGTCAGACAAATAGGAAACAAAGTGCGAAATAGTAAACATTAATTTACAAGGTCCTTGTATTAGTCCATTTTTATGCTGCTGATAAAGATATACCCAAGACTGGGCAATTTACAAAAGAAAGAGGTTTAATTGGACTTACAGTTGCACGTGGCTGGGGAAGCCTCACAGTCATTGTAGGAGGTAAGGAGGAGCAAGTCATGTCTTACATGGATGGCAGCAGGCAAAGAGAGAGAGATCTTGTGCAGGGGAGTGTCTCTTATTAAAACCATCAGATCTCGTGAAACTTATTCACTATCACAAGAACAGCACAGAAAAGACTTATCCCCATGACTCAATTACCTCCCACCAGTTCCCTCCCACAACATGGGAGAATTCAAGATGAGATTTGGATGGGGACACAGCCAAACCATATCAGTACTTAATGGACTGAATTCATCAAGTGATTACAAGTAAATATTTTTCTTTTTAAAAATTTAACAAATATATTATATTCCTATTTGTTATTATTTATAAATAATGAATATGTCAAGCAATAATTATCAAATGCTATATTTAAATGTCTAGTGTTTTTAGGAATATTGAATATCTTATTATTGTTATACTTTACTGATTAAAATGCCATGAATTAACATACATTGTATACTTGCTTTACATATTTAGGTATAGAACCAGAAAATTAATTGTCTAAAATCTACTCCACAGTTAACTAATGCTGTATCTTCTTTGTTAATACACAAATTACCAGCACAAGAGGTTGAATAAAAACATGTGGCCAAATAATTTTTGTTTAATGTGTAAGAATATGCAAAAAAGGCCGGGCGCGTTGGCTCACGCCTGTAATCCCAGCACTTTGGGAGGCCGAGGTGGGCAGATCACGAGGTCAGGAGATCAAGACCATCCTGGCTAACACGGTGAAACCCCGTCTCTACTAAAAATAAAAATTAGCCAGGTGTGGTGGCGGGAGCCTGTAGTCCCAGCTACTCAGGAGGCTGAGGCAGGAGAATGGCATGAACCCAGGAGGCAGAGCTTGCAGTGAGCAGAGATTGCACCACTGTACTCCAGCCTGGGCATCAGAGCAGACTCTGTCTCAAAAAAAAAAAAAAAAAAAGAATATACAAAAAATTTATTTTTATTTATTCAGTGAATTAAATTTATTTATACTGAATCAATTGGCAGTGATTCCATATAGACATGGATAGAACTAAATTTTAGATAGTAATAGAAAATTAAAAGTGCTATTAATTAAAATAAACTGTTTCAACAAGGAATGCCAAGTACTGGAAAGCATAAGTATTGCACTAACAAAAAGTCAGAGATTATACAATTATTTGATCTTTTACTATTATTATCAAAAGTGAGCTGAAAATTGAGTATACTAATACAGAAAATAGGAAAAGTGATTACAAAAGGCTAGAATAAAAAAAGCTAGCAAATGGAAATCGAGCACTGGCAGATTCAGTATCAATTTTATGATAAGTAAATAATCATTCATGGTTCAAGCAATTTACTTTTTAACAAAATTATATATAATATGTATAATTTTGAAAACACTACCAGTTCCACGGAATATTCAACATACAACTACCGTATAATTCAGAAATTCCACTCTGGGGCAAAGAGGCATAGCAAGACAGTTGAATTGAAGGCTCCACTGATCGTTTCCCCAAGAAGGACACCAATTCAACAACTATTAATATCTGCACAAAAGAAACACCTTTATAAAAATTAAAAATCAGGTGAGCACTCAAAGTACCTGGTTTTCACTTTGTAATGCTGAAAGAGGCACAGAAGTGGTAAAAAGAAACAGTCTCAAGTTGCAGACACTACCCCTAATTTATAACCTGGCAGTGGCGGCATGATCCAGAGAGCATTTCTGAGTGCTGGGAGAGGGAGAACGCAACAATTGTAAGGCACTAAACTCAGTGCTGTCCTGTTAGAGCAGAATGTAAAACCAGACCAAACTCAGCCAATGCCTTCCCTGGAGGGAGCAGTCAAACCAGCTCTAGCCAGAGGAGAGTCACTGATCCCAGTGTTCAGAATTTGAATTACTGCAAGCCTCACCACCACAGCCTAAAGTACAATGGGGATCTAAATAATTGTGAAATACAGTCTAGGCCAAAAGAACTGCAACACTGAGGCAAGTGCTACTGCTGAACTGATCCCAGAACCAGTAGACTGGGGGGCACATGACCTACTGAGACACCAGGCTTAAGGAAGTGCTGGCATCACTTGTCCCCTAACCCAAGGCTACAAAGCTCACAGCTATGAAAAACAAAAACAAAAACAAAAACAAAAAAAAAACCCTTTCTTCCACTTAAGGAGAGGAGAGAAAAGAATGGGGAGGAGTTTGTTTTGCATATTGGATACCTGCTCAGGCACAGCAGAATATAAAATTGGTCAGAATCATGAGGCCCTCTTTCCAGGACCTAGCTCCCAGATAGTATTTCTATACACACCCCGGGCCAGAAGGGAACCTGTTGTTTTGGAGGGAAGGACCAGCCTTGGCAGCATTCATCCCCTCCTAACTGAAGAGCCCTTGGGTCCTGAATAATGAGCAGTGATACCCAGGTACTGCATTGAGGGCTTTGGGTGAGCCTCTGAGATGTGCTGGATTCAGTTAAGACTCAGCACATTAACAACTGTGGTAGCTATAGGACAAAACTCCTTCTGCTTGAGAAAAGCAAAGAGAAAATAACGGGCACTTTATATTGCATCTAGGTACCAGCTCGGTCACAGCAGTGTCAAGCACCACGCAGGCTCTCAGGATCCCTGATTCCAGGACATGGTTCCTCGACGCCATTTCTGTAACTGCCCTAGGCTGGAAGATAGCCCACTGCTCTGAAGTTTGAGTCCCAGGCCAGGCAGCATTTATCAAAAGCTGACTGGAGAGCCCTTGGGCATTAAAGGAACATTGGCAGTAGTCTGACAGTGCTCCCATTCAGCCTGTGGTGGCAGTGGCCACAAGGTGAGGCTCCTCTACTTTTGGGAAGGGGAAGAAAGAGTGGTAAGGATGGTGTCTTGCAGTTTGAGTACCAGCTTAGCCACAGTAGAACAGAGCACCAGGTAGGAATCTAAGGTTTTTGAGTCTGGTCCCTTGCTCTTGATGGTACCTCTGGACCCACCCAGGGCCTGGGGAATCTCACTGCCCTGAAGGGAAGGACACAGGACTGGATATATCTGTCACCTGCTTATTTTAGAATTCAGGGTCTTGAGCAAACAAAAAGTAGCCAGGGAGTGGTTACTGCAGGCCTTGGGTGAGACCCACTGTTGTGATGGCTAGAGGTCTGACCCAGTGCAGTCCTAGGGGTGGTGACCAGAGGGGTGCTTGTGTCACTCCACCCCCAGCATCAAGTGGCTGTGAACAGAAAGAGACATTCCGTTTGTTTAAGATAAAGTAAGGGAAGATTACTCTTCCAGGTTGTGTTCAAGACTGTCACAGCAGTACCTCTACAAGTCTGGAAGAACCACGTTACTGTGCTTGAGAAACCCCATAAGCATATACAGCTTATATCACAACCCTCAAGTCATTGTGAATATCTGGAAAGACTTCCCAAGAAGGAAGGGTACAAACAAGCCCAGACAGTGAAGAGTAAAATAAATACCTAACTCTTCCATCCCCAGACATACACAAAGTATGAAGACAAACATAACCAAGCAAAGTATTCAGAAAACATAACCACACAATGGACTAAATAAGTCACCAGGAACCCATCTTGAAGAAAGAGATATGGGACCTTTCAAACAGAAAATTCAAAATATATATGTTGAGGAAACTGAAAGAATTTCAATATTACACAGGTAGGAAACTCAGAATTCTATCAGATGGATTTAACAAAGAGATTGAAATGCAAAGAATCAAGCAGAAATGCTGGAGCGGAGAAATGCAATTAGCATAGTGAAGAATGCACCCGAGTCTCTTAATAGCAGAATTTATCAAGCAGAAAAAAAAAAATTAATGAGGTTGAAGTCAAGCTCTTTGAAAATACACAGTCAGAGGAGACAAAACAAACATGCAAACAAAAACCAATGAAGCATGCCTACAAGATCTAGAAAAAACCCTTAACAGGGTAAGTCTAAGTGTTAAAGAGGAGGTAGACAAAGAGAGAGGGGTAGAGAGATTATTCAAAAAAATAGCAACAGAGAATTCCCCGAACCTAAACAAAAATATCAATATTCAAGTATAAAAATGTTATAGAACATGAAGATATAACCCAAAGAAGACTGCCACAAGGAATTTAACAATAAAACTCCAAAGATCAAAGGTAAACAAGGGATCCTAAAAGCATCAAGAGAAAAGAAGCAAATAACATAAAATGGAGCTCCAATACATCTGGTAACAGACTTTCTAGTAGAAACCATACAATCCAGGAGAGAGTGGCATGATATATTTACAGTGCTGAGGAAAAATAACTTTTACTCTAAATATCATATTCAGTGAAAATATCCTTCAAACATGAATGGAAAACAAACACTTTACCAGAAAAACAAAAGCTGACGAATTTAATCTACATCATACCTGGCCTATAAGAAATGCTAAAGCAAATACATCAATCAGAAAAGAAATGATGTTAATGAGCAATAAGTAATCACCTGATGGTATAAAACTCACTGGTTATAGCAAGTACACTGAAAAACACAATATATTATAATACTGTAACTCAGGTATGTAAACTATTCTTATCGTCAGGATAAAATAATGGTGAACCCATCAAAAATGATAACTACAACAACTTTTCAAGACATAATTCAATAAGATGTAAATAAATACAGGGAAAAGATAAGGGGGGAAATGTAAAGATGTAGAGTTTGTATTTTTTATTGGTTATGCAAACAATGTGAAGTTATCAGGTTAAAATAATGGGTTATAAAATAGTATTTGCAAACCTTATGGTAACATAAAACCAAAAAACAAAAAATGGATACACAAAAAATAAAAAGCAAGAAATTAAATTATATCACCAGAGAAGATTACCTTCACTAAAGAAAGAGAAGAAGGAAAGAAAGAAGGAAGAAAAGACTATAAAACAATGAGAAAACAAATAACAAAATGATAGGAGTAAGCCTTTACTTATCAATAGTAATGTTGAATGTAAATGAACTAAACTCTAGTCAAAAGACATAGAATGGCTCAGTGGATGAAAAAACAAGATGCAGTGAATAACCCGTTTCCCACAAAAAACACACTTCACCTCTAAAGACACACATAGAATGAAAATAAAGGGATGGAAAGATATTCCATGCCAAAAGAAACAAACAAACAAACAAAAAGAAGCAAAAATAGCTAAGCTTATATCAGAAAAAGCAGATTAAAAAAAGGTATAAGAAGAGACAAAAAAAGTCACTATGTAATGATGAGCAGGTGGACTAAAAAAGAGAATATAACAAATGTAAATATATATGAACCCAATACTGTGCCACCCTGATATATAAAGCAAATATTATTATAGCTAAAGAGAGATACCCCAATACAATAACAGCTAGAGTCTTCAGCACCCCATTTCCAGCTTTGGACAGATCTTCCAGACAGAAAATCAGGAAATAAACATTGGACTTAATTTGCACGATAGACCAAATTGATTGAAGAGATAAATGCTTACAGACTAATTCATTCGTGGCTGTAGAATACACATTCTTTTCCTAAGAATATCGATTATTTTCAAGGACTGACCATATGTTAGGCCAAAAACAATTAACCATTTAACAAATTTAACCATTTAACATTGTTAAATAAACCATTTAACAAATGGAAATAATATTAAGCATCTTTGACCACAGTTGAATAAGATGAAAATCAATAAGAAGAGGAATATTGGAAACTATACAAATATATAGAAATTAAATCATATGCTTCTAAATGACAAGTGGGCCAATGAAGAAATTAAGAAGGAAATTGAAAAAAAATTTGAAACCAATTATAATCAAAACACAGCATACCAAAACCTATGAAACACAGCAATAACAGTACTACAAGGAAAGTTTATAGCTATAAGTGCCTGCAAAAACAAAACAAATGTAATATTAGAAGAAGAGAAATAATAAAGATCAGAGCATAAATAAATAAAACTGAAGAAATAAAACAAAGATCAATGAAACAAAAAGGTGATTTATTGAAAAGTTACACAAAATTAACAAACTTTTAGCCAGACTAAAAAAAATCCAAATAATGTCAGAGATGAAAAAGGAGACAATACAACTCATACTGCAAAAATTTGAATAATCATTAATAGCTATAGTAAGTCTATAAGTCTCAGACAAAGGAACTTTTACCACTCACAGTCTTCACCAGATGCTCAAGAGAAAGGTATGGTACAGGGAGAGAGTACTGAGACACTATTTGCTGTGGTGCTGGCTTGAGGAAAGAGCACTGTAGCCACTGATGGAAGTAAATGAGGACCTTCTACATTTTTCTCCTCTCACTCCCCTATAAAACAAAAGGCTTAACCTGCTGGGGAAATAGCAATTAACACTGCTGCCCATAGGAAACTACAGAAGACCAAACATAGCTTAGGGAACTAAAAAGAAAAATAATTTTCTAGCTGTAGGAGAGAGACAGGATTGTGTCCTGGGCCCAGATCATTTGAGACTGGCCATAATGGACAGCAGGAAAGTCTTTGACATGGTCTCACTTGAAGACTCAGAAACACATAAGGTATATTAAGGCCTAAAACTGAGGCTAGATGAAAAGAAGAGAATGCTTTATGACATCCCCACCATCATCCTAGTGTAACAGGTTTACAATACCAAATGACAGCAATATACTTGCTCAGTATAAACTGGGGAAGGGACAAGAACGCAGAGACAAACGCTCTCTGGTGTACATGCAACAGTTCAGACCTAAAGCTAAAGGTGGAAAGGGCATTGTGAAAAATCCCTTTGACAAACCTGTCCTCATCCTAAATACAAAGCAAAACAAGTGGATTTTTGAATCCTGCTGTGCACTGAGAGTAACCATAGCAGGAACAAAACTCAAACAGCTCAACTGCAGACTATATTGACTTAATACCCCACACTAAGCGCCTAGCAGAAGAAAAAATACGCTTATTTACAGCCATAAAATGTATTTACCCTAGTCCCTATTTTCTACAAAAAAAAAAAAAATCCAGCTTTCAACAAAAAATTTTGAGGGAGAAGAAGCAAGAAAAAGAAAAACAGTGTCAAGACACTAAGAAATCAACAGAACTAGATTCAGATATGACAGAGCTGTTGGAACTATGTCAGACATGAAACTGAAAATAACTATGACTAAAATGATAAAAGGCTCTAATGGAAAAGAAAAACGTCCATGGTTAAATGGATAATTACAGCAAAGAGTTTCAAATTATAGACTAATTACTAGAGTGGAACATGCTGAGAAAAGTATCACTGAACTTGAAGAAGATAAATCAAGAGAAATTATCCAAAGTGAAGCAGAACAAGAAGAGTGGGGGGAAAAAAAGCAAAGAGAACATCCAATATTTGTGAGACTATAAAAACAGCCTAGTGTTACCGGTAGAAGAGATTTGAGTTACCTCGAGTAACTTACGGTGGTGTATCCATAAGGGTCTGCAGCCACTTCAGTTCTTGCCTTCTCAGAAAAAAGAATTCCACTGTGGGGCATAAAGCAGAAAAAGAGACCAAGGCAAGTTTCAGAGCAGGCATGAAAGTTTATTTACAAAGGGTTTAGAACAGCAAAGAAAGAAAAGTTCACTTGGAAGAGATCCAGTGAGGGCGCCTGAAGGTCAAAGAGGGTCAAAAAGAGGCATCTAACCTTGCTTGGTCCTAGGAATTTATAGGCTCACCTCTTTTCCATGGTTCTTCCCTTAGGGTGGGCTTCCCATATACAAGGTGCTCTTCTCACCCTTGGGAAGTGAGCACACACGGTGTGTTTCGTAAGTTGTATCCATGCCCATCTGAGGCTTTCTTCCCTTTCTCCGGTGGAGTGTCCCCAGAAGGTCATATTTCCCAGTTTTATCTCTTAGTGCCCAAGCCCAGGACGTTTCTTCTCCCTGGCATCTGCATACAATTAACACTTTAATGGCAATAGCTGTGGGTCACCAGGAAATGGCTTCTCCCTGGTACGGGGCGATGGGGAGGTGGGGGCGTGGGGCTGCCCAATTATCATTTTTAGAGAGACAGTGTGATAATTGTCAAACCATCCCCTGACATCCCCAGTGGGTGGGAGAGAAGAGCCCTCTAGTGTCCCACTCATGCCAACCTAACTACCTGTAACACTAGCATATGTGTAACTGGAATTGTAGAAGAAGAAATGCTAGGGAAGAAGAAATAGCTGAAGACAATTTACCCTGTTTAATGGTGAAGAGTAAATGGAATATAAAAATGAATTCAAAAGAAGGTATAAAGGAAGAAAAAGGACACAAAGATGTAACAAGTAGCAAACTACTAGCAAGATGGTAGATTTTAATCTAACCATAATTGTTATTTAACTATAAAGTACCTAGGACACAAAATAAAATACAAGTTGGATTTTAGTAGAAAGACGCATATATTTGCTACATACTAGAAATCATTTAAAATTAAAGACATAGATACATTAAAAGGAGAAAAATATATAGTATGAAAACAAACATCTAAAGAAGGATAGAGTAGCTATATTAATATTACACAATATACACTTCAAGGACTATTACCAGAGATAAAGGGGGACATTACATAATTATAAAAAGATCAGACAACATAACAATCCTAAGTGTATGTGCACCTAACAATAGAGCTTCAAATAATAGACCTGAAAGAAGAAATAAAAGAATCCACAATTACATTTGGAGACTTCAACATTCTTTTCCTAGTAATAAATGCAATCATTAGAAAGAAAATCAGTAAGGACACTGAAGAACTGAACAATACTTTCAACCACATTTATCTAACTGATATTTATCAAATACCCCATCCAACAACATGAGTATAAACATTAATTCAATTCATATAGAATATATACTGATATAAACCATATTCTGGGCCATAAGGAAAGCTCATCGAATTTCAAAAAAATTCAAATCATACAAAATATTATTTCTGACCACAAAGAAATGAAATTAGAATTCCAAATTGGAGATATATCAGGAAAACACCCAAATACTTGGACACTAAATAACACACCTCAAAATAAACCATGGGTCAAAGAAAAAAAATTAGGTAGCATTTTTAAATGAATGAAAATAAAAACACAATTTATCAACATTTGTGAGATGCAGCCAAGGTAGTGATTAAATGAAAATTTAGAGGATTAAAGTCCTAAATAAGAAATGTCACAAAACTTAGGCCAGGTGCGGTGGCTCACTCCTGTAATCCCAGCACTTTGGGAGGTCGAGGCAGATGGATCACTTGAGGTCAGGAGTTCGAGACCAGACTGGCCAACATGGCAAAACCCCGTCTTTACTAACAATACAAAAATTAGCCGGGTGTGGTGGCATATGCCTATAGTCCCAGCTACTCCGGAGGCTGAGGCAGGAGAATCACTTGAACCTGGGAGGTGGAGGTTGCAGTGAACCGAGATGGCACCACTGCACTCCAGCCTGTGTGACAAAGTAAGACTCCATCTCAAAAAAAAAAAAAAAAAAAGAAATGTCACAAAACTTAATCCAAGTTTCCACTTTAATAAGCTGAAAAAAAACAAAGGGCAAATTAAATCCAAATAAGCAGAAAGAGGTAAATAATGTATATGGGAGCTGAAACCAACAACTCCATATACCAAAAATATTTGTATGGCACATGTTGTACTTATTGTTGCAGGTGGATGCAGTGATTTAAATTAAACTACTACTTCTCCAAAACCATGTCCTGTCATCTGAGAAGAGGTGACTATAACGGAAGAAACCCTCCTTATCTAAATGGTGCTCACAAAAGTATGCAAATTACTTTAAATTTAATTTAAATTTAATTAAACCAAATCCAAATATTATGAGAATCATCAAACTTTCTAAAGTATCTAATTATGTAAAGGCAACCATAAAATCAGAACAAATTGTGCTGGAAGTTTAGGTGTGTGTTTGATTCTCAGGGAGACAACTAATGCCCTTAAAACTCCAATAAACTCAAAACTGTTGTTTTATATATATATATATATATATATATATATATATATATATATATATATGTGTATATATATATATGTGTATATATATATGTGTATATATATATGTGTATATATATATGTGTATATATATGTGTGTATATATATGTGTATATATATATAGTAAGTATATGTGTGTGGGGGGTATATATACATATACATATACTTATACATATATATCCTACAAATCAATACGAAAAAGACAACTCTATAGAAAAACACACAAAAGATTTAAATGGTTCCTTAAAAACAGGAATTTTACATACCTCATCAGTGTTTGAAATGGTGCTCAAGCTTATTAGTAATCACAAAAGTATACATTAAAACCACAGTATGAGACCATTACTCTCATTCCAGATTGGCAAAATTTTAGAAATCTGCTAGCATTCAGGGGTGAAGAGGATATTAAGGAAGATAAATTTGAATAATCTTCTGGTGGAAGTGTACAATTAATACAACCACTTTGAAAAACATTTGGGAATTATCTAGTAAATTTGAAGACACATGCACTGTGTAGCCCATCAATTACACTCTTGAGTAAATACATCATAGGAAAGTGCATACATATATTTACCAGGAGACTTTGAAACAAATCCTTGTAGAAGTACTCTTCCTTACAGACAAACTGGAAACAATCCATAGGAACAGTATTGGTGAAGCTGGAAAAAATATGTGGCATTTTTTCCCATTATCAGCATAGAAATTCTAAATATGGAGTGTATCCATATTTTCTGAAATGACTATTTTCCTCAAGATTTTTTTTATAACTATGGGAACTGTCAGAGCTCAGGGCAGGCTCCATAAAATGGTATTGCACTCTACTCTAGGAGTAACTGAGACCTTTACCAAGGTTTGCTCTATTTTTAAAAGTATCATGATTTTCATAGTCTTATTAAAATTTCACTTAATATATATTAGCATATTGAAACCTACACAATGCTAAAGAAGCATCACCCTATTGTTATTATATTAATAGGCATGTTTAATTCACTTAGGTTTCATTTTCCTCATCTATTAAATGATGATGAATCCCAACTCCATTAGCTAAGAATGTATAGCCACATAACAAAGTACCTGAATAATGGTGATATGGTTTGGCTGTGTCCCCACCAAAATCTCATCGTGAGTTGTAGCTCCCATAATCCTCATGTGTTATAGGAGGTAACTGGTGGGGGGTAATTGAATCATGGGGGCAGGTTTTCTCATGCTGTTCTCATCATAGTGAATAAGTCTCATGATATCTGATGGTTGTATAAAGGGCAGTTTCCTGCACACACTCTCTTGCCTGCAGCCATGTAAGACATGCCTTTGCTCCTCCTTCGCCTTCCACCATGATTGTGAGGCCTCCCCAGCCATGTGGAAATGTGGGTCCATTAAACCTCTTTTTCTTTATACATTACCCAGTCTACAGGTGGCCTGACCAAATAAAGGTTATCTTCTCTCACAACAGCAACAACAAAAAATCCAAAAATAATCCATTGCAGCCATTGTTTTAAGTACTCAACAATGAATTAAGGGACCCAAGCTCTTTCTAACTTTCTGTTTCACCATCATTACCATCTGGCTGTAAGATGGCTCCTGTACTTCTAGGCATCATATTATATGCCATTTTCAGAAAATGACGGTAAGGGAAAGGGGCTACACCAACTACATCTGTCACTCCTTTTATTGGTAATCACAGATATTTCTCAGAACACTACTTAGCTCTTTCCTTTTTTTATCTTTTTGGCTAGAACCGTGTTTCAGGGAACCGGAAAACCAAGAATTCATTTTTCTAGTATCTAGGGTAGAAGAATGCAAAGAGAAGTTGAGAAATGAACATCATAAGTACCAATAGAACCTGGGGTACTCTTGCCTTACCTACCTCATTGGATTGTTATGAAGATCAATTGTACTATCATATTTGAAAATCTTTGAAATGTGCAAAGTGCTAAAGAAGTGTAAGGAATTATTGTGTGCTGTCTTTTGAAACTAATGATCTTTAAGGTATTTTACTAAACTCAAATTACGATTCAATGATTAAGTACTAAAAAAGGTCTTATGTGCACACATTATACTAGATGATAAAAATCTATCTGTCTTTACCTATGTTAAACACCAGCTAGCATCTGCTTTCAGTACAGTTTGGGGCTTTGCTCAGGATAGAATATTTCAACTTAATGAATCAATGTGGAAAATCCCTTTCTTTTCTAGGAGATGAATCTGGAAAGGTTGCTGTATTATTTATCTCTGACTAAAGTTTCTACTGTGGACAGGTGGAAAGCAAAGAGAAAATATTCCCTATAGAAATATGGAAGGGAAACTGATATTGATTTTTGCAAAATAAATTCAGAGTAACTCTCAGAGGCTTTGGGTATATCTAGGTCACTGGGAAAAAAAATAAGCATTTTGCTGACAGGAGAAATATGGTTATTTCTTACACATGGCTATTAAATGGATTCAGAACCTTTTTATTATTATACCAAGATTATTCCAACCGAATAGAAATTACATACATATATGAGCAGAATGCAGGAAAAAAATCTTTGACAACATTATGAATTTAGATCAGTTTTCCATAAGGAATTCATGGTTAAATTCAAAATCTCAAATAAGATTATGCTAATGGATTCTGGGCTTAATACCTAGGTGATGGTTTGGTCTGTGCAGCAAACCGCCGTGGCACACGTTTACTTTTGTAACAAACCTACATATCCTGCACATGTACCCGGAACTTAAACCTTGAAGGAAAAAACATGTCAGCTACTTTGATTATGTGGCCCAACACAGAGTGAATAAGTCATGGGCTATGTCTCTCTCTTTGAACTCCAAAAACATGCAGGGTACAACATGGGCACTCTAGCAGCTATCAAAATATTGGCCTTCAATATTTTCCATAGTAATAATTTAGCAATCTAAACATACGAATCCAATGGACTAGAAATAAAAATGTCTTCCTTAGCCAGGAGTAAACAGTAAAGGTTGAAATAACGTATTTGACGCCTTAATCAGTCAACAAAGAAATATTAAGCACCTAATATGTGCCAGGCTTTCTGTCAGGCATTGATGATTCAATGGCGAACAAAAAGACATGATAGCTGCTGTTATGGTGTATACAGTGTAGTGCAAAACACACATTTTAAATATACTTACATGAGATCATTTTTTTTGAAGCTTGTTTTAACTTTTCAGTTCTAGATAGCTCTTTTTTCACTTTAATTTTAGGTTTAGGGGTACATGTGCATGTTTGTCTTATAGATAAATTGTGTGTCACTGGGGTAGGGTTTACAGATTATTTCATCGCCCAGGTAATCAGCACAGTACGCGATAGGTAGTTTTTCAATCCTCACACTCCTCCCACCCTCCACCTTCAATTAGGCCCTGGTGTCGCTTGTTCCTTTCTTTGTGTCCATACATACGCAGTGTTTAGCTCCAACTTATAAGTGAGAACATGCAGTATTTGGTTTGCTGTTTCTGCATTATTTTCCTTAGGATAATGCCCTCCAGCTCCATTCATGTTGCTGGAAAGGCCATGTATTTCATAGGGTATATGTACCACATTTTCTTTATCCATTCTACCATTGATGGGCATTTAGGTTGACTCCATGTCTTTGCTACTGTGAATAGTGCTGCAATGAACATGCACATGCATGTGTCTTTATGGTAGAACAATGTGTATTCCTTTGGGTATGTACCCTATAATGGGATTGCTGAGTTGAGTGAAAATTCGGCTTTCAGTTCTTTGAGAAATCACTGAACTGCTTTTCACAATGGCTAATCTAATTTACATTTCCACAAGCAGTGTATAAGTGTTCCCTTTTCCCCACAACCTTGACAGCATCTGTTATTTTTTGACTTTTAATAATAGCCCTTCTGATTGGTGTGAGTTGGTGTCTCATTGTGCTTTTGATTTGCATTTCTCTAATGATAGTACTATTAAGCATTTATATATGCTTGTTGGACACGTGTATGTCTTCTTTTGAAAAGCATCTGTTCATGTCCTTTGCCCATCTTATAACTGGGTTGTTTTTTCCTTGTAAATTTGTTTAGCACCTTATAGATTCTGAATATTAGACCTATGTCAGATGTATAGTTTGCAAATATTTTCTCCCATTCTGTAGGTTTTCTGTTCACTCTGTTGATACTTTTTTGTTGCCACACAGAGGCCCTTTAGTTTAATTAGGTCCCATTTGTCAATTTTTGCTGTTGTTGCTATTGCTTTTGGAGTCTTCATCATGAAATTTTTTTTCCAGATCCCATGCCAAAAACTCCCTAGGTAATCTTCCAGGATTTTTGTAATCCCCAATTTTACATTTAAATATTTAATCCATCTTGAGTTGATTTTCATATATGGTACAAGGAAAAAAGTATAGTTTCAATCTTCTGCATGTGGCTAGCCAATTATTGCAGCACCATTTATTGAATAGGGAAACTTTTCCTCATTGCTTGTTTTTGTCAGCTTTGTTGAAGATCAGATGCTTGTAAGTATGTGGCCTTATTTCTGGGCTCTTTATTATGGTCCAGTGGTCTATGTGTCTAGTTTTGTACCAGTACCAAGCTATTTTGGTTACTGTAGCCTTGTACTATAGTTTGAAGTCAGGTAATGTGTTGCCTCCAGCTTTTATCTTTTTGCTTAGAATTGCCTTGGTGATTTAGGCTTTAAGTCCCATATTAATTTTAAAATAGTTTTTAAATAATCTCATGAGAATGTAGTTGGTAGTTTGATAAGAATAACCTTGAGTCTGTAAATTGCTTTGGGCAGTATGGCCATTTTAACAATATTGATTCCTCCTATCCATGATCACGGAATGCTTTTTTATTTGTTTGTGTCATCTCTGATTTCTTTGAGCAGTATTTTGTAATTCTCACTGTAGAGATCTTTCACCTCCATGGTTAGCTGTATTCCTAGGTATTTTATTCTTTTTGTGTCTCTTGTGAATGGGATTGTATTCTTCACTTGGCTCTCAACTTGAATATTGTAAGTGTCTAGGAATGCTATCAATTTTTGAATATTTATTTTGTATCCTGAAACTTTGCTGATGTGTTTTATCAGATCAAGGAGCTTTTTGGCAGAGACTAAGAGGTTTTCTAGGTATGGAATCATATTGTGTGCAAACAGGGATATTTTGACTTACTGTCTTCCATTTTGGATGCCTTTTCTTTCTTTCTCTTGCCTGATTGCTCTGGCTACAACTTCCAGTACTATGTTGAATAGCAGTGGTGAGAGAACGCATCCTTGTCTTGTTGCAGTTTTCAAAGGGAGTGCTTCCAGCTTTTGCTCATTCACTATGATGTTGGATGTAGGTTTTTCATACAAGGCTCTTGTTACTTTAAAGTATGTTCCCTCAATGCCTAGTTTATTGAGTGTTTTTAACATGAAAGGATGTTGAATATTATTGAAAGCCTTTTCTGCATCTATTGAGATTATTATGTGGGTTTTGTGTTTAGTTCTGTTTATGTGGTGGATCACATATATTGATACATTGAACAAACCTTGCGTCTCAGGGATAGAGCCTACTTTATAGTAGGGGATGAGCTTTTTGATGTGCTGCTGGATTCTGTTTGCTAGTGTTTTGTTGAGGACTTTTGCATCTATATTCATCAAGGATATTGGCCTGAAGTTTTCTTTTTTAGTTGTGTCTCTGCCAGGTTTTGGTATCAGGATAATACTGCCCTCATAGAATGAGTTAGGGAGGAGTTCTTATTCCTCAATTTTTTGCAATAGTTTCAATAGGAATGGTACAAGCTCTTCTTTATACATCTGGTAGATTTGGCCATTATTCTATCTGGTCCTGGTCTTTTCCTGCTTGGTAAACTTTTTATTATTGATTCAACTTCAGAACTTGTTATTGGTCTGTTCAGGGATTCAATTTCTTCCTGCTTCAGTCCTGGGAGGTTGTATGCTTCCAGGAATTCATCCATCTCTTCTAGGATTTCTAGTTTGTCTGCATTGAGGTGTTTATACTAGTGTCTGTGGGTTTTCTGTATTTCTGTGCAATCAGTTGTAATGTCTCCTTCCTCATTTCTGATGGTGTTTATCTGGATCTTCTCTCATTTTCTTAATTAATCTAGCTAAGCCTCCCCTTTCTCATTTCTGATGGTGTTTATCTGGATCTTCTCTCATTTTTCATTAATCTAGCTAGCAGTCTATATTTTTAATTTTTAATTCTTTCAAATAATAAACATTGACTTGTTGATCCTTTGTATTTTTTTTATGTCTCAATCTCTATTTGTTCAGGTCTGATTTTGGTTATTTCTTTTCTTCTGCTAGCTTTGGGGTTGGTTTGCTCTTGGTTCTCTAGTTCTTTGTGTTGTGATGTTAGGCTGTTACCTTGAGATATTTCTAAACTTTTCATGTGGATGTTTAGCATATAAACTTTCCTCTTAACACTGCTTTAGCTGTGTCCCAGAGATTCTGGTATGTTGTATCTGTGTTCTCATTAGTTTCAAAGAATTTCTTGGTTTCTGCCTTAATTTCATTATTTACCCAGAAGTCATTAAGGAGCAGATTATTTAATTTTCATGTAATTGTGCGATTTGGGGTGATTTCTATTTAATTTTATTTCTATTTTTATTGCCTGTAGTCTGAGAGTGTGGTTGGTATGACTTTTTTTGAAATTGCTAAGGATTATTTTATGCCTAATTAGGTGGTTGATTTCAGATTGTGTGCCACGTGCAGATGAGAAAAATGTATATTCTGTTGTTTTTAGGTGGAGAGTTCTGTAGATGTCTGTTAAGTTCATTCGATCAAGTGTTGAGTTCAGGTCACAAATATGTTTGTTAGTTTTCTGCCTTGATGATCTGTCTAATGCTGTCAGTGCAGTGTTGAAATATCCCTCTATTATTGTGTGTATATCTAAGACTCTTCATAGGTCTCTAAGAACTTACTTTATGAATCTGGGTGCTCCTGTGTTGAGTACACATATATTTAGGATAGTTAAGTATTTTTAAATTGAGCTCTTAACCATTATGTAATGTCCTTCTTTGTCTTTTTTTTTTTTTTTTTTGCTATTTGTTGGTTTAAAGTTTGTTTTGTTTGAAATGCAAAATGCGAATAACAATCCCTGCCCTTTTTCTGTTTTCAATTTGCTTGGTAGATTTTTCTCCATCCCTTTACATTGAGCGTATGGGTGTCACTGCATGTGACATGGGTTTCTTGAAGATATCATACTATTGTGTATTGGTTCTTCATCCAACTTGCCACTCTGTGCCTTTTAATTGGAGCATTTAGCCCATTTACAGTCAGGGTTAGTATTGCTGTCTGTGGATTTGATCCTGTTACCATGTTGTTAGCTGGTTATTATGGAGACTTGTTTGTGTGGTTGTTTTATAGTTACTAGCCTGTGTACTTAAGTGTGTTTTTGTAGAGGCTGGTAACAGTCTTTCCTTTTCATATTTTGCACTCTTTTCAGGACCTCTTGTAAGTCAAGTCTGGTGGTAACAAATTCCCTTCGCATTTGCTTGTCTGAAAAGCATCTAATTTCTCTTTTGATTATGAAGCATAGTTTGGCTAAATATGAAATTCTTGGTTGAAAACTTTTTTCATTAAGAATGTTGAATATGGGCCCCCAATATGTTCTTCCTTATAGGGTTTCTGCCGACAAGTCTGCTGTTAGCCTGATGGGGTTCCCTTTGTAGGTGACCTGCCCCTACTCTTTTGCTGCATTTAACATTTTTTTTTTCATTTTAACCTTGAAGAGTCTGATGACTATTTGTCTTTGGGATGGTCTTCTTTTGTAGTATTTTGCAGAGGTTCTCTGCATTTCTTGAATTTGAATGTTGGCATCTCTAGCAAGTTTGGGGAAATTTTCATGGATGATATGTTAACACATGTTTTCCAAGTTGCTTGCTTTCTCTCCCTCTGTTTCAGAGATGCCAGTGAGGCGTGGAATTTGCCTCCTTACGTAATCCTGTATTTCTTCGAGGTTTTATTCATTCTTCTTTATTTTCTTCCCTTTTTTTGTTTGAATTTTCTAGCTCTGAGATTCCCTCATAAGCTTATGCAATTCTGCTGTTAACACGTGCAATTGTATTATGAAATTGTTGAAGTCCATTTTTCAGCTCTATCAGATCAGTTTGTTTCTTTCTTAATATGTCCATTTTGTCTTTTGTCTCCTGTATCATTTTATTGTATTCCTTAGAATCCTTGGATTGGGTTGTGACTGTCTCCTGAATCTTGAGGGTCTTTGCTCCTATTCATATTCTGAATACTATTTCTGTCATTTCCATCATTTCCACCTCTTTAAGAACCATTGCTGGGGAACTAGTGCACTTGTTTGGAGGTAAGAAGACACGCTGGCTTTTTGACTTGCCAGAGTTCTTGCACTGGGTCTTTGTCATCTTTGTGGTTTATGTTCCTTTAATCTTTGAAGTTGCTGGCCATTGGATTTTTTTTTTCATTTATCCTCTTTGATGTCTTTGGGGGTTTGATTACGTTATAAGGTGGGTTTAACTGACTGGCTTCATTTTTGTAAGACATAAGGGGGCCAAGGCTCAGCGCAGTATTCCTGGGCTTCATGCTAGGGGCTGGTATCAGGTCCCCGGCTTTGTTCTCTAACTCCTCAGTGTTAGGAACCTGCTGTGCTGGAGGGGCCAACCTGTTCCCCGACCACTGGTCACAATAATCCAATGGGTGGTTTCAGCCAAAGCACTTTATCAGGCAGTGACAGCAGGATCAGTGCTCATTAACATGTGCCAGCAGTAGTGTCAGTGCAGTGGGGTGTACACTCATCAACTGGGGTGGGGCACTGCTGGGTGCATGGGTGCTGGCCTTCATGCACGTATTCACAGAGGCAGCATTGGTGACATGGCATGGTGGGGATAGGACTGCTGTTGTATGTGTATGTGTTCATGCTGATGGTGGTGTTGGTGTGGGGGCAGGGCACTGGCAGATGTGTGGGTGGTGCCCTCCTTGTGCACATTCATGCTGGTGACAGTGGTAGCATAGGGTGAGGGGGGCGAAGATCATTTTTAAGTGCCTGCCACAGTATGTGACATACAGTAATCATTCAATAAGTGCCAGCTACTACTATTACTATTGATAATACTAATGCAAGCATAAATATATAAATGTAAAAGCCTATAAAAGTATAAAGCAGGAGGACTAAACCTATTTTGAGGTGATCATAAAAAAGCAGCAATGGGAACTCATACCCCTATATGCCAACTCTTAAACATACCCTTTAAAGTTTACAGCAATAAGAACAGGGCAAAAGAGGGAAAAATAAAGAAAAAAATCCAAAAAGTACAATTACAAACAGTTACTTTAATCCCCCTGCCCCTGCAGGGATATTCATTTTGAGAAAATGTTGCCAAATAAGCATCTGGGATGCCTAGACAAGAACCGTCAACTCACTAGCACCTAGGGCAGAATCAGTGTGCCTACTATAAGCAAAAGGGCCATTGGCAATGAAAATGTCCTAACTATCCCTGGTGAGAGGAAAACAAAAGCTCCCTATCAATACTAGAGCTAACCTTATTCCACCAGCCTCAATAAGCTGCCTTGCTGAAGTAAGTTTGCTGGGAGTCTTGGACCCTGGACCCATCAGAAAGCTTCACGCAGTGGCAGACAAGCAGCTGCCCAAACATTTTTCTTCAGTGTCTCCACTATTGTGTGAGTTCTCTGGTGGCTCAGGGACTCCAGGGTTTCCCCTGAGCAATGCAGTTTGCACCCTCCCTTCCATATTTGATGCTGCAGGATTCGCTTTCCTGTGTCTTCCTGTTTTCCACACCTATTATGGCAAACAAAATTTGGCCAGGTAGATTGGTAATAGTTTTGTAAATGACTTGAATCCAGTTGTCTTGTATAGGTTGTTTTATTTACTATGTTTGTTTAGGTATATATACAAGTATTATGATGTGTGTTGTGTCTAGCATGTTATGAAATTGGCTTATAAATAAAAGAGCACTCATAAGTAAGACTAGTCAAAGCTTATTAGTTTCAAGAGAATGTTCTCTCTTCTAAAATTTAACTTGAAGATATTTGCATAGGTAAATTACTGATGTTCACAGGCTTTAAAATGATTAAGATGCTTTAAATGATGACTAACTTTTTGTGGTATCTTGGATCTTGGAGGAAGTCTAGATAAAACTGTTAAAAGTTAAAGAGCTAAATACAAGTGAATGAAATAGGTGCTTAAATTGTGAGCTAGTTGCGCGGTTAAAATCTTAAAATGGTAGAATGGTTCTCATCTATAGAATGCCAATGTAAAATGAATAGTTCAGGACTTCTTCCTTCCTAGGCTTACATAAAATGTGCCAAAAAAGTGTATTTATTTATTTATTTATTTTGAGATGGTGTCTTGCTTTGTCTCCCAGGCTGGTGTGTAATGGCGCTATCTTGGCTCACTGCAACCTCTGCCTCCTGGGTTCTAAGGATTCTCCTGCCTCAGCCTTCTGAATAGCTAGGATTGCAGGAGCATGCCACCACGCCTGGCTAATTTTTGTATTTTTAGTAGAGATGGGGTTTCATCATGTTGGTCAGGCTGATCTCAAACTCCTGACTTCATGATCCGCCTGCCTTGGCCTCCCAAAGTGCTGGGATTACAGGTGTGAGCCACCGCACCCGGCCAGGAAAAAAAAAAATAGTATATTATTTATTGAGAAAAAATAAATATATTATTTGCTTAACTTTGAAGTTATCAAAAGGGAGGTTCAAAATACGAGGGAATCTGTGGGTAGAAAAGAGAGATATAAAGAAAGTTATGGGTAGAAAATGTATTTGTTTGTTTGCAAAGAAGGATATAAAAAAAGAGTAGTTTTGTATGAGGAGGGATCTT
Organism: Homo sapiens; assembly: GCF_000001405.40. NCBI lineage: Eukaryota > Metazoa > Chordata > Mammalia > Primates > Hominidae > Homo > Homo sapiens. The sequence continues at coordinate 145,264,217 of NC_000023.11, read as the reverse complement.
TTATAGTACATTCTTGCCCTAGAGTAAAATGACTGGTTTTATTTAACAAAGAGGTAGTATAGGACAACTCAGAAAGTTCAAGCACATTATAGATGGTCTGTGTTAGTTGTTCAGAAAGGGGAATTTATAAAAGAAAATTTGTGGACGATTAAACTTGCTATGATTAAAGAAAATCGTTTGTGATAGGCTTTCTCGAAAATGGTCTATATAGCAGAGCCAAATTTAGTTTTGATATTAATTCACGAAATTACCAGAAATTTGGCTTTTCAACTTTGAAACCTATTTATTTGGAAATCTTCTGAGATTCCTGTAACTCTTCCCTTTGGCTTTTATGCCCGCTCCAGTGAGTTTTTCCCCTTTGGTTATGACTGCTATTATGGCCCAATGTTAAAATGTTTTGTCTTAAAGGTCCTTGGGAGCAGTGTTTTCTCCCACTATAGCTTAATTCTATTCTCTTGTTTTTCTCAATGTGTAATCTTATTTTGGCTTTTGCTTTTGATTCATATTGCTTAGAAAGGTTTTGGGGTCTGGTGGGTGCCTACCAAACTCCATTCCCTTTGGCCAGTAAGTGGGCATGGCTTCATTGTGTTGGGGGCTATGGATTTTAATTTCAGATTTCATTTCATTCCTTTTTGTCAGTGTGTGCTGGAGGCAGCGTCAGTGTCCAAGCTTTTATTTTGTCCTGTGCCAAGGCTGGGGTGGCGTGCTACCTGCCCTGGGTCTATCATGTCCCTTAGTGGAACCCCTATGGCTGGAGGACTTGGAGTCAGAGGACTTATAGACAGTTATATGTTCTGGGCTGGAAGAGGGTGGATTTGGGCGAGCACCCATTGGTCCTTGAAACCCTTTTGAGCAGTATGGGAGCCAGGAACTGGTAGTCAGGGACTAGAAGCAGGAAAATATGGTTGTAAAACGGACTTGTCTATTGATTCTGTGTGTTCACCTGCTCCAGCAGAGGAGCCTCACCCTGTATCCACTGCCAACCCAGGCCAGAAGGAGTACTACTAAACTTCCACTGATATTCCCTTAAGGGGCTCTTAAGTCAGCTTGTGCTGAATGCTGCCTGGCCTGGGACTAACCTTTCAGTGCACTAGCCCCTGCTGTGGCCCAGGGTAGATCCAGAAAAGCTATCCAAGACTAAAGTCCTGGAATCAGGGATCCTCAGAGGCCACCTGGTGCTCTACTCCCCTTTGATCATGTTTGTACTTGAAGAGAGCAACTCTCAGAGGCTCATCCTGGATGTAGTACCTGGGTATTGTTGCTGGTTATTCAGGGCCCCTAGGGTCCTTTAGTTAGCAGATAATAAACGCTGCTGAGACTGGATCCTTTCCATCATGGCAGCAGATTTCCTTCTGGCCCAAGATGTATCTAGAAATGTTATCTGGGAGCTGGGACTGGGAACGGGGGCCTAATGATTCTGACTGGTCCCATATCCTGCCGTGGCTCAACTGATATCCATGGTGCAAGACACAGTCCTCCCCACTCTTCTCTCTCCTCTCCCCAAGCAGAAGAAAGGGGTCTCTCTTGGACACCGAGCTGTGTAGCCTGGGGCTGGGGGAGGGTGATGTCAGCACTCCTCTGATTGCTCTAGCTGGTGTCTCAGTACGCTGCACACTCTGCCAGTCCACTATCTCTGGGCCTAGTTCAGCAGGACTCACCTAAGAATGGCAGTCCTTTTGGCCTAGACTGTCTTTTGAGTTTACTTGGAGACACAGCACTCTGGCCCTCAGTGGTGAGGTTTGTGAGAATTCAGGTTTAGACCCCTGGGATTGGCAATTCCCCTCTGGCTAGGGCTGGTTTAAATGCTCCCTCCGTGGGCAGGTGTCAGCTTAGTTTGGTCTGGTTTTCCTTTCTGCTCTAACAGGAAAGCACTGAGTTTAATGCCTCACAACTTGCTGTATTCTCCCTTTCCCGGTGCTCAGCGATGTTCTCTGTACCTTGCCACTGCTGCTGCTAGGGTGTGAGAGGGGTGGCATCAGCAATTCACGACTATTTTTTTCTCTCTTCAGTGCCTCTTTCAGGGATATGAAATTAAAATGAGGTACGAGGAGTGCTCACTTGATTTTTGGTTCTTAGGAAGTTAGTGGATTGCTTGTGATGTGCACCACATTTTGGTTTAATGTTTATCCAATAATAAAACTGTTTTCTTTCTCTTCTATCTTCGTAGAAAGGCTTTCTGGGTTGAGAGGAGATTTGTTTAAAATTCGATTTGTTTCCCAACAATACCTCTTCTTTCCTTCCTTCCTAAAGTTTTTACTGAGCTAGTCTGTATCAGGTATTATCCCTACCTTTTGTGAAACACAGAACTTTCTTCCATACCTTTCTAACCTCAATTACTGTCACCACAAAACACAGATAGCTTTGCTAGGAGCATGTCGTTGGTAAGGGAGAAGCAAAATGTTGACTACAGTTAACTGTGGAAGTAATGTTAATTGAGTATTGGAAGACAACATTGTATAAAGTACTCTTCCTAGATTCTAGACATCTCCAACTAGAATCTACAAGAGCTGCTGTACAGAGAAGTAGGTTACTACCTAGAGGGAGACGCCGGGTGGTGGGAGGGTGTGTTTGCTTTGCTTGTTTTGCATTTTGTTCAATAGTGGGAGTGACTGAGCATTTTTGAATGTAAGAATGTAAATTACTTAAGCCACTATGGAAAACTATTGGGAAATTTATCAAAGAACTTAAAACAGAACTGCCATTCCACCCAGCAATCCCATTACTGGGTATATATCCAAGTGAAAATCAATTGTTTTACCAAAAAGACCCACGTACGTGTGTGATCATCACAGTACTATTCACAATAGCAAAGTCATGGAATCAATCCAGGTGTCCATCAATGGTGGATTGGATTTAAAAAAATGTGGTACATATATAACATGAAATACTATGCAGCCATAAAAATGAGTGAAATAATATCCTTTGCAGCAACACATATGCAGCTGGAAGCCATTATCCTAAGCGAATTAACAAAGGAACAGAAAACTACATTCTACATGTTCTCATTTATAAGCAGGAGCAAAACACTGGGTATTCATGGACATAAAGATTGGAACAATAGACACTGGAGACTACTAGAGTGGGGAGGGAAGGAGTGGAGCAAGTGTTGACAAACCATTAGGTACTATGCTCACTACCTGGGTGATGGGATTGTTTGTACACCAAACCTCAGCATCACTCAATGTACCCAGGTAACAAACCTGCACAGGTACCCCCCTGAATCTAAAACAAAAGTTGAAGTTATATATATAAAAAAACAAATGTTGACAAGAAGGAATAAGAAGCTGGTAGACAAGATTGAAGAAACAGGTGATAGAACATTTATGAATTAAATTCCCTGAAGAGGTGGTAACAAATGGGATTTGCCTCAGACTGAAGGAAAAATACCTCTTCAACTGAGATTGGAGATGGGAAGAGAGCAGGTTGAGCAAGAGTCCAGAAAATTGCAGATAGCTGGCATTTAACCTCATTTGGGTTTTGGTGATCTAGACCCTGACATCTACTACCAATGCCACTATTAACACACACACACACACACACACACACACACACACACACACACAGAAGCAATACCATGCCATTTTCCTTCTTGCATTTGGATTAGCAATTGTCTTTCATGTATAGTCTTGACCCAGTCTTTATTCTCAATATCTGGCTGTGGACCTGCCAGTTTGGCCCCTAACCCTGCAGAACCCCTCTTGCCTCCCTTCTCACACCACTTGCTTCCTTTCTCTTTCTCCACCATCAGATAACTTGCAGAGACACATACACATATGGATGACACAATTCAACTGAAAACTTAGGGGCTTTTACAACTTGTTGATTTTATTTTAATCATCACTGTGGAAGATTTAACCTCTACATTGTTAGTCATTTCTCAGCAGCCATACCTCTGGAGACAGAAGAACTTTTTGAGAGGTCTGTTCTTCACTCTGCAGTCACAGGATGCACACTTCACTCGAAGAAAACCCCAGGTTTTCTTAGTCTTAGTCTCCCTGATTTTGATTCACTTTCTCATTGGGCCTGTAATAATGACCGAATAGTTTTGGCCTTTGGCTGATGTAGGATTGCTTCAAGAGATGGTAGTTCTTAGAGATTTTTCTCTTGAACACCCTTGAAAAACTACTGGCTACTTTTACTTTTATGATTATCTCCTGCACCTGGTAGGGAAACAGGGTGCTGTCAGGTCCTCTTCCCATAAGGCAGTGATTTAGGAGAAGAGAATGTGAAATGCATAGGAAGGAGGGTTTACTGAACCTGGTTATGGGCTGAGGAGGGGATACATACCACATAAGGTTAAGGTAGGAGTCTTGGAAGTGGTAATATAGTTAAGGGGACAGAGAAAGAACATGGGCAGCTTGATCTGACCTTGCCACTGTCTCTGGACTTGAGTTCATATGGGATATTCATTCTTCTTTCCTTTGGTGTCTGTGGTTGGTTGTTGCATGTCTGGTGTTGGTTGATCCATAGCTGTGTTAGGCAACTCCGGTTTGCCAGTTACCTCTTCCATGTTGATGTCAAGCAGTAGTATAGCCCGGGGCCCCACCCTCTTTATGTATACTCCCTCCCCCAACATGTGGGTATTACAATTTGGATTACAATTCAAGATTAGATGTGGGTAAGGATACAGAACCAGACCATATCAGTATGAAATCATGGTATCTTTGAATTTATATGGCAGAAAACATGTGCATTTACCATGAGCTTTCTGAGGAAAAGTCAAGATATAATATTTATAGTGAATAGATACCAATTCAGCCTCTGTATTCAAGACTGTCTGGGTTTGAATCTCTATTTCACCGCTGGCTATGTGGCCTCCATTTCTCATTCCCTAAGGATGCTGATAGCAAAACTACCAGAATCATAAGCTTTTTATGAGGGTTAAATTACCTTATGCATATGAAGTGCTTGATATTTAGGAAATGCTAAATAAATGTTAGACGTAATTATTTGAAAATGTTAGATATCATTAGTATTATTAGTAGTGTTATTCACATTTAGTGAAGCATTTCAAGGCAAAGATATATTCTTCATTTAAATGTGCATTATTTTATTTGTTTATTTATTTATTTATTTTTTGAGACAAGGTCTCACTCTGTTACCCAGGCTGGAGTGCAGTGGCTCACTCTTGGCTCACTGCAACCTCCTCCCTTTCGACTCAATTCTCCTGCCTCATCATCCTGAGTAGTGGAGACCACAGGCACACACTACCATGCCCGGCTATTATTTTTGTATTTTAGGTAGAGATGGGGTTTCGCCATGTTGCCCAGGCTGGTCTCAAACTCCTGACCTCAAGTAATCTGCCCACCCCAGCCTCCCAAAGTGCTGGAATTACAGGCGTTAGCCACTGCGCCTGGCCAAAATGTACATTGATTTAAAGTTTACTAAAGTAAATTTATCTTTTGAGGTCTTTTAAAAATTAGGCTGTTTCTCAAAGAACTTAAAATAGAGCTACCATTTGACCCAGTAATCCCATTACTGGGTATATACTCAAAGGAAAATAGATCATTATATCAAAAGACACATGCACTCGTGTGCTCACCACCACACTATTCACAATAGCAAATGCATGGGATCAACCTGGGTGCCCATAAATAGGTAGATTGCATAAATAAAATGCGGTACATATACACCACGGAATTATATGCAGCCATAAAAAACAATGGAATTATGTCCTTTGCAACAACATGGATGGAGTTGGAGGCCATAATCCTAAGTGAATTAATGTAGTAACAGAAAACCAAATACCAGATGTTCTCATTTACAAGCAGGGATTAAATAGCACAAATGGACATAAATGTAGAAACAATAGACACTGGAAACTACTAGATGGGGGAGGGAGGGAGGAGGGCACGGGTGAAAAAACTACCTATTGGGTACTAGAATCACTATCTGAGTGCAATATATTCATGTAACAAACCAGCACTTGTACCCCCGTAGCTAAAATAAAACTCGAGAAAAAAATTAAGGTTGTGTAAAATGAAAATAATAATATAATTAAGATCATTATATCTACTATCTATGCCTAGAAATTTTTTTGAGTAAATAACATCCTCAACTTTTTTGAGTAGATATCAGCCTCAGCATTGTATTAAACTTTCAACTAGAGAGACTTATTCCATTATCTTGGATATTTTGGATGTTTTTGCACTTAGATTAATGTGCTACATAGACCCAAACATTTAGCAATTACATCTAAATTAATGGAATTAGGTACTTGGACATCACATTTAAAGGGTGTTTCTTTAACTAGCTCAAGATTATATTTTTAGTTATAACCACAGCTGGGGCTAGAACCTTATATAATATGAGTCACTATCAGTGTTTTTTTCTCATCACCATGCTACACTTCACTGTCCATGCTTGTGCCATCATTCAGCAAGTATTTACTAATTGCCTGTTGTGTGTCAGGCTCCATGCTATTTCCAGATGATACCACAGCAAACAAGTTCAAATCTGAACTTTCAGGAAATTAGCAGTCAAGCTACCACACATCCTTGCCACTGTTCAAGTTTTTATATAACATAACTCTTATTTTTCAAATGACATCAAGCTTAAAAAACCCAACAACCTTCTCCTTTACACCAGGGAAATATGGTAGCAAGTGTTAGACATTTTGATGTAGAGAGTAACAGGCATGGTGAGATATTCACACCCACAGGAAAGAGCTGTAGCGGGCAAGGCCCTCTGAGAGCTCACTAGATATCACCAACAAAAGCCAGATTGATAGCAGAAGAGGTATAGAGATTTGTTTAAGGGGTGTATTTGGGAGCCTTCAGAATGAAGACCCAAAGATACAGGGGAAATTGTGCATTTTATGCCTAGGTTTAAGGAAGTATGGATAGAGGCTCAGAAATAGGATTGGACAAAAAGGGTATAAACTAATACTAATGAACTGAGTGGGGAAACACAGAAAGGCCTGTATGTCTAGATTATTCTTGGCTTCTTTGAGCAGCATTCTTCCTTCTGGGTGTGGGGCAGGGACCCCTCTGAAATGGGGGCCTTCTGACCTACAGTCAGTTTCTTTATGGCTAGTTTTTACACGGAAAAGCGGAGTGAAAATGAGAGTAATATTTTTAGCTTTTTTTTTTTTTTTTTTTTTTTTTTAAGATGGAGTCTTGCTCTGTCACCCAGGCTGGAGTGCACTGGTGTGATCTGGGCTCACTGCAAGCTCCGCCTCCTGGGTTCACGCCATTCTCCTACCTCAGTCTCCTGAGTAGCTGGGACTACAGGTGCGTGCCACCACGCCCGGCTAATTTTTTTTTTTTTTTTGTATTTTTAGTAGAGACGGGGTTTCACCACGTTAGCCAGGATGGTCTCAATCTCCTGACCTCGTGATCCACCCACCTCGGCCTCCCAAAGTTCTGGGATTACAGGCGTGAGCCAACGCGCCTGGCCATATTTTTAGGTTTTATTGCTGGCTTTGGGGAAAATATGGTTTAGTTTCTATGACACACCTTGGGGAAGAAGGATTCTAGTTTCTATAGCTAGCCTTGGGGGAGAATGAGACTGAGAGACAGGAGGGTAGGAGAAGATTAGAGAAAGACTTTTGCTCCTGAGGTCTTCATTTTGGGGTACTGTTTTCCAAGCTCCAAAAGAGCAAAATTACAGTTGATCATTTTGTAAACAGCTTTTCCAGGACAAACTCATCCACATCAACTGCCTAAGGGAGTTTATGCCACTTTCCCCTAAGTTCCCTACTGTGGTCCTACTAATCATAGGTATGGCACTCAAAAAGTGTAAGTCTGGCCTGATTCCACATGACACCATATCAGAGAGTTGAAGAAAGACAGTATGATCTCTCCTGAGGCTTTTGCTTCTCTGAGTTCAGTGTTCTCAATATATCGTCCATTTGCTTCACCAGATCCATTCTCCACTCTACTTTGTGCTGCTAAAAATCTACTCATATAAACCATGGACTGTATTAATAAGCTGTCTTGTTCTATGGCTTCGGGTTAGTTTTAGTGAATGGTAGGTCCCTGCAGATCACTGGAGAAGGAGGAAAATGAAATCAGAATATTTATTTATCTGGCTCCTTCCTTGGAGAATTTCTGTAATTTCTGAAATTTCGATTTCATTTCTTGACCTAGATGATCGCTTTTTCTCTAGGTCTTCATCCTCCTGTGAAGATCCTTCAGGTAATTCTACGTCTTTATCCTCCTGTGAAGATCCTTCAGGTAAGTCTAGGTCTTCATCCTGCTTTGAAGATCCTTCAGGTAAGCCTAGGTCTTCATTCTGCTTTGAAGATCCTTCAGGTAAGTCTAGGTCTTCATCCTGCTTTGAAGATCCTTCAGCTGAGTCTAGGCCTTCAGGTAAGTCTAGGTCTTCATCCTGCTTTGAAGATCCTTCAGCTGAGTCTAGGCCTTCGTCCTCCTCCTCTTGGACTGGATTGATGGAGTTCTCTCAGGACTGGTCATTCTCCAGTTGATTTGAATGTATTTTCTTAGCTTTCCTGTAGCAAAACGCTAATACTGTTGAATATTCTGACGTTTTCATCTTTTTCAAACTCGGTTCGGGGGCTAAGTCCCTGTTTGGTGTCTCCTGCATCTGTTAAGAAAACAGGGAGAGGCCAGAAAGACATTATTTTGGGTGAATAGGATAGAGACTGGATAGCAAGGGGGGCTTTATGAGAAGGAATGCAGGTGGAGGAAGGGGTGTGTGCCAGAGAAGAACAAGGTTGAATCATAGGGTAGGGATCTATGGGGAAGAAGAAGAGGAGCATGGGTAGGGTCACCTGTTAGTCCAAAGTGCACCATTTTGTAAGTTCTTTGCCATTTTGCAGACCTTGGTCAAAGTGAAACATCCCATGGGGGTTCAGGCCGTGAGAAACATCCTGCCTAACCACCTGTCCACAAGGCGGACAAAGGCCCAACTAAAGAAACATCCCTATCATATCTTGCTTGGCAAAGTTCTAAGGAACACCACAATGATATTCCACCAGAAAAAGGGCCAAACCACCTGATCATAAGAACATCTTATCAATATCCTGCCTGGCAGCAAGCCATACTGCCCAGATCCCTCCCACCCATACCTGTAAGTACCCCAGGCTGTAAGCAGTGGTGGGATCTGGCATTAAGCTGTTCCCCCACTTCCACAAGTTTCTGCAATATTCCTGTGTTGCTGTTTGAGCTGCCCCATCTCTGTGTGTCTTTCTTTCATCCTCGCCTTCTCTTCAAAACCTGACATTTTGGTGTCAAAACCTGGAGTGGTTGGTGATTGGGTTCTAATGGGTAAGTTTTCTGCTGCAACCCAGAAAGCGAAAAGCAGCACAAACTAGACCGGGGCCTGCTTCCAGATCCTGTGATCTCCCTGTTCCTAGTTCCATTCCCCTTATACTCTAGTCTTCTCCAGACCTGGGATAACCTCCAGATATTGATCAAACTCTCGACCTTTTTCTTTTCCCTTCCTTCCCCTTTCTGCGCTGCTGCAACAAGGATCACCCCCATTTCTGGACATCATATCCAACACTGGGCGTCAATTAGTGGGTGAGTCTCCCTCTTCCTCCTTTCTGGATTCCTCTCTATTTCTGCCTGTTCTCCAAAAAACAATCAAGTGCTGGGTGAGAGGTCTCCCCAGTCACCAGGTGACCGCAGCCTCCCTTCTCAGGGGACAGCCTCAGAATGCTTGCCACTCTGGCCGCTCCGGCCTCTGGGGAGCATGAATAGTACGGGGCTGCCCCGACTCTCCAGGTCCCTTCTTCCAGGCGGAATCAAGTACTCACTTTCCTCTGGTGTATTCACTTCCCTCTGGAGAACTCACTCCGCTCTGGGATATTCACTCTCTTCCAGGGTACTCACTTTCCTTAGGGGTAGTCACTCCCATCCAGAGTATTCACTCCCCTCTTCCAAAAAAACAAAACATTCAACTTCCAAATTCAACATCATCTGAAAAACTTTCTCCAACACAAGGGTAAATAATCTGAAGTGCTTTGCTTATCTTCGTTCACAGCTCACTCTCCCTCTCTGCCAATCTTGTTCACCTTTTCAAATCTTCCTCCTCAAGGAGAAACCCCCCAAAATGCCTCCTCCTCCGGACAAGCCTTCCTCCTCTGAATTTCAACCTGGACAACAAACCCCTTCCTCTGCCTCCTGCCCACTCCCATTCCCTCCACCTTCTCCTTCGGATCCGGCTCCTCCACCCCCTTACTGTCACCCTCCATCCCCCTTCCTTCTCCACCTCAAACCAGGTCTCACACCCAACCCCCTTTCGCTAGAAACCAGGCACATGCCCAAAGGCCTTCCAAAGTCCTTCCCTTGCAGGAGGTTGCGAGGCCTGAAGACACAATCTGAATTCAAGTTCCCTAGCTGACTTCTCCCATATTGAAAAGAGACTTGACTCCTTTTCAATGGATCCTACCTCCTTCTGCAAGAAATTTCTGTACTTCCCTAAATCTTATGACCTTACCTGGCATGACGTATATGTCATCCTCTCCTCTACCCTCACCCTGGAGGACAGGGAACACATCTTTATTGGCACCCAGGCCCATGAGAACACCCTCCAACAAAAAGATGCTACTCACAACCCAATAGGGACCCTAGCTGTCCCCAGAACTGACCCCAATTGGAATTGTCAGGCAACTTCTGTAGACAGACAGAAACCAGGCCATATCATATCATGCCTTCTAGCTGGCATATATAATATCGCCCCTGATCTTTTCCTCTCCTGCCTTCCAAAGGTCACAACTAAATATGCCACCTTAAGCCCTAATAACAATAAGGGCAAAATCGACCTCCATTTACACTTTATCTCCCAGTCAGCCCCAGACATTTGAAAAAAAACATTAAAAAATGAAGGATGGCCCTCAAACCTCCCAAAGAGACTTAATCAAAGTGGCCTTTAAGGTCTTTAAGAATAGAGAGGAAGAACCAAAAACCTCAAACCTAAAGAAGGACCAGGCTAAATACCAAATGCTGGTGGCTGCCACTCAACAGGGTTCCCAAGGCATACAGAATTCCTCAACTTGGCGACAGTCAACTCCAGGAGCCTGTTATAAGTGCGTCCAACACGGACACTGGGAAAAAGCCTACCCTAATCCCAGGACATTCTGGAAACCTTGCCCCATCTGTGGTATCAAGCAACACTGGAAGTCAGACTGTGCTCAGTGAAACTCTTCATCCTGCTTCACCACCCGTACCTGAAGACAGACGGGGCCTAGAGTCCACCGCCCGTACTGCCATCACCACCTCGGAAGCCAGGGTAATTCTGTCAGTCTCTAGTAAGCCCATGTCTTTCCTATTGGATGCTCAATAGGACAACTAGTTACTCGGTTTTACCCAAATATTCTAGACCCTTTTTCCGTTTTTCAATCTCTATTGTGAGAGTCAATAGAATCCCCTCTAGGCACAGACTCGTCCTTTATTATGCAACCTATTCAACAGCCCCCTTCACCCACTCTTTCCTGGTTATCCCTCAGTCCCCTACCCCTATCTTGGGGTGGGACATATTAAGTAAATCCCAGACCTCCATGCAATGTGGCTCCTACAATTCTACCCCTTTTATTTTACTCTGACACCCAAACGCTTCCCTCTCCCCCTACTCATCCTCATTATCCACCCTGTTACCTTCTGTTAATTCTAAACTTTGGAATGTTTCTAAACCCACAATAGCCACACATCACATCCCAGTTAAAATAACCCTCCAGAACCCCTCCATTTTCCTTCATCAGTCTCAATATCCACTTAATCCAGCCGGTTTAAGGGGCCTCAATCCTATTTGTAAACTTTTGCAAGCTCAAATTCTCAAGCCCGTCAACTCTCCCCACAACACCCCTATTCTGGCTTTCCAGAAGACAGACAAGACTTACCCCTTTTTCCAGGATCTCCAAGTTGTTAACCAGGCAGTGGTACCAATCCATCTGGTGGTCTGCAACCCATATACTCTACTCTCTCATACTCCTACATCTACCACACACTCCTCTGTGTTGGAGCTAAAAGAGGCCTATTTCACTCTTCCCTTAAACCCAGCTTACCAAAGTCTCTTTGTTCTAACTTGGCCAAATCCTAATACTCACATGTCCACCCAACTAACATGGATTATACTCCCACAGGGGTTCCAGGATAGCCCCCATCTATTCAGACAGGCCCTCATCAAGGACCTAGCTGAACTTCCTCTTTTTCCTAGTGCCCTCCTCCAATATGTCAATGACCTCCTTCTCTGTAGCCCTTTCCTTAACCTGTCCATTCAACACACCACTCAGGTTTTAAACTGCTTCCATAATCGAGGAGATTGGGCCTAACCCACAAAATCTCAGGTAGCACAAACATGGGTTTGTCCTAACCCCTAATTCTCGAGCCATCCCAACCCAATGAAAGGAGCTAATTTGGGACATGCCCCTTCCCCACACAAAAAAAGGACCTCCTCTCCTTCTTGGGCCTTGTGGGATACTTTTGGCCATGAATTTCCAACTTTGACTTGCTGGCCAAGCCACTCTACATGGCCTCACATGGGCCCATCCTAAAATCCCCAAACCCAGCTTACCCCATCAATTCCCACTAAAACAAAACAAAACAAAACAAAAAACCAAAACCAAAACAAACAAACAAAAAACTTAAAAATGCCCTTTTAATGGCCCTGGCACCAGGACTGCCCAACCTCACCAAGCCCTTTACTTTGTATGTACATTCCGACCAAGGCCTTGTCCTTGGACTACTCTGTCAAACATACGGCGACGCCCCAGAAGCCATTGCACATCTCTCAAAACAACTGGACTCTGTCATCCAATGCTGGTCACTCTGACTAAAAATCTTGGGTGTGGCCACATCACTGGCCTTAGAGGCACAGAAACTCCCTCTTTACCAACACATTACTATTGCATCTTCCCATTACCTACAGGACCTCATAAACCATCAATTTCTTCTATGCCTCCCACCATCCTGCTTACAGCAGGTACATGCCTTATTCATAGGTAACCCTCTAATCACCTTCCAGAGATATAAAACTCTCAACCCAGCCACCCTCCTCCCTGTAAACACTTCCGACTCTAAGCTCTCTCACTCCTGTCTGGACCTCTTAGACTCCCTCTCCTCCCCCTTCCAACACATTTCAGATGCCTCTTTGCAGGGAACACATACACGGTTAGTTAATGGAAGCTCTTTTAGGGAGCCATGTCCAGCAGCTGGCTATTCCATCATTGCTGAAAATAAACTCCTAGAATCCAATGTTCTCCCACCCCATGCTGCCTCTCAACAGGCAAAGCTAGTTGCCCTAACCAGGGCCCTCACCCTAGCAAAGGGAAAGAGGGTCAACATTTACACCCATTCCAAATATGCATACCATGTCCTACAGTCTCATGCCTTCATCTGGCAGGAACAGGGTTTCCTAACTACAAAAGGAACCTCCACAAGAAATGGCAAACTTATACATAAGCTGCTGGGGGTAGATAAACTACCACTAAAGGCCACCATTATCCATTGCAAGGGACACCGAAAGGTTACAGATGCCAAAACCGAGAAAAACCTTTCAATAAATTTGGCAGCCTGGCAGGCAGCCCTTAAAACCCCATCGTTATTGCTCATTTTTTTCCAGCATACACCCTGTATATACCCAGCAGGAACAAACCCCACTTGCCCGGACTGGCGCCATTCAGGAAAAAATGGTTCCACCTCAATGATAAAAGTGTCTTGTCCAAGTTTAAAAAACCTTCTGAACTTTCATATGTGCACAACCATTTCCATGCCGGTTACTGCCCCTACTCCAGCTTTTAAAAACATACATATATTCTTCCTCCATGGCTGCCCATCTCAAAGATATTACTAAGGCATGTTCCCTTTGCACTCAAACTTCCCCTCAGGAAGCTATCAAACCACCTCCTTTCCAACACACGAGGCCTGAGGACACTTACCAGGGCAGGACTAGCAAATCAACATCACTCACATGCCCCCCAGAAAGTGATTCCTATACCTCACAATAGTAGATACATTCTCTGGATGAATAAAAGTTTTTCCCACCACCACCAAAAAGGCACACACCATCACGTCTATTCTCTTCACCCATATTATCCACCGGTTTAAACTCGCTCTTGCATCCAGTCAGACAATGGGTCAATTTGTTTCACAGTTCAGCCAACAGCTGGCAAAGGCTCTAAACATTAAATGGGCTTTCCATATTCCTTACCACTCCGAATCTTCAGGAAAAATTTTATAAAAAACAACTAACCAAACTCTCCCTAACGGTTAAAATGGCCTGGACTTCACTTCTCCCATTGTTCCTCATGCATTTATGAGTCATTTCCCAAAAGCTCCTCAGCCTAAGCCCATTTAAACTCATGTACAAATGCTCCATTTATCCTCCAAAATATCCCCGTATTTTCTCCCCCTTCTATATGGAATACTTGGCCGGCGTTACACCTCACCCAACATCTAATAAGACAGTACACAAATGCTTACTTGACCCAGCCTAAAAGTCCATCCTCAAAACACTCCTCCCTGTCCCTACAACCAGGGGACTGGGTCTGAATCACAGACTCCTCCTCCTCCCTCTCCAACCTAAGTGGAGGGGTTCTCACCAGGTGATGCTAACTACTCCCACAGCGCCAAAGCTAACATCCTTTCCACACTGAATGCACCATTTCAAACTAAAAAGAGCACCAGATCCACATCTAGAAATTTGTTCACCCCCAAATTATTCTCGTTCCCTCACAGGACCAGCCTCACTGTACTTAACAAGAATTCCAGAATTTGCCAATCCAGAACACCCTAGCCCATAACACTCTCCGTCGCCAATTTCCAATCTTTTATCTCCTACTTTGTTTCAGATCTTTCCTGGTTTCCCTTCCCTATGTCCCTGGATAGTCTATGCCAATTTCTCACACTAACGCAGGAGGTATGACTTTAGGGCACCTTCCAAAATTTCACTCCTACTCAAATCTCCTTTTTCTCCTTTGTCCTCTTTGTCTGTGGGATACTCTTAAGTCCCCACCCCCAACCTCTAGCAGTTGAGCCCCCTTCATCAGCCTCACACATTGCCCATTAAATCAGTCACACTCCCCTTTTACTTCCAACTGTTAAACTTGTTTGTCCACACAAATCCAGCAGTTCACATCCCTTCCTGTCAACCTGGCCACATAAACCTGGTCGAAAATAAACCTGCATCTCACCTACTTAACCAATTCATTCCCAAATCCTGTTTATAATCTTGCTCGGCTAATCACCTTTCCCCCCAATCCATTAAATCCACCCACACCATCACACACAGGGCTGTCACCCTCCTTCACCTCATAGCCTCTTAACTAAACATGTTACAACTCTGATTCCATAAAATACCTCTTACCAACGCCTCCCCTCTTGGCTAGAGCCACTCTTCATGTATCCAACTCAAGGGCGCTCCCTGGAAAACATGCACAAACAATTCCCTCAACTGCAACCTGTATCCTTCTGCCCTGTAAGGACCACAGTGGCTATTAGTTACAAAAACCCATTTCCCCCTCTCTCTCCAAAACCAAGCAGCCTTCACCTCCTCCACCACCAACATTTCCTATCAGGCCTTCAGTGGGGCTACCCTTGCTGGCAGCTATTGAACTTGGAGGAATATAAAAGTTAAAACAAAGTGTTTGTGGAGAATTCAACCCCCACCTTCTCATGGCTTGCCACCATAACCTACAACTTTCGTTAACCGCCATAATCTACAACTTTTTTGTTAATCTAAACATTAACATTTTGCCTAACAAGCAGACCATCCAGGTTCCTTTAGTAGCTTCTGTCTCATCTTCCTCCACACACACTAAGCAGGCTGTACATCTCATTCTAGTGTTAGCAGAACTAAGCATCTCTGATGCACTCAGCACTGGGATAGCAGGTGGTCCCTTTCTTAGGGCCGTTAATCTTCCTCCTCCTGATAGTACATTTGGCCGATGTATACTCACCTTCATATCCTGCTTTATCTCCCGAAGGCTAAACTCCCCTGTCCAGGCAGCCACCCAGCAACACATTGATACCATCCTTCTCCTCTGCCAAGTCCGGTACCAGTGCCTCCAGGAAAACAACTCTGAAGTCCAACACCCACTGCTTCAAAACCCAAACCCTGATTACAGCTCCCCTATTCGGCAGGAAGCAGCCAGATAATCAACAATGCCCCTCTTCCTTTTATACTAAAGTAGAAGGCAAGAATGTGAGTCCAAACCACCATTTAGTAAGCACCCTGCTATTTTTCAGACCTTGATCAAAGTGAAACATTCCACGGGGGTTCAGGCTGAGAAAAATCTTGCCTAATCATCGTAACACAAGACGGACAAAGGTCCAACTAAAGAAACTTTCCTATGGTATCTTGCTGGGCAAAGTTCCAAGAAACACCACAATGACATCCCACTGGAAAAAGGACCAAACAGCCTGATCATAAAAACATCTTATCAATATCCTGCCGGGCAGCAAGCCATACTGCCCAGGCCCCTCCCACCCCTACCTACAAGCACCCCAGGCTGTAAGCGGCGGTGGGCTCTGGCATTAAGCGGGTCTCCCACTTCCACAGGTGTCTGCAATATTCCTGTGTTGCTGTTTGAGCCGTCCCTTCTCTGTGTGTCTTTCTTTCACCCTCACCTTCCCTTCAAAACCTAACAATCTTACCTCATCATTTTCATTGTTGGATTCACAGGGGCTCTTCCTCTTCTCCCCATTGATGCTTGAAGTGGGCTGTTCCATGATTCTGGTTGGTTGTAGAATGTCTATAGTAGGCTCTTGTAGACTCCAGACTTGCACAGCTGTATTGAAGCTTCCCAGGAGGATGTCCCAGAGCTCTTGCCCTCCCTATATATACCCTCCTGGTGACAAGGCAAAGCCACACCCTTGAGCTTTGTTTGATCATACAGGCAGTGTCCCAGCCAATGGCAGTCCTAGGGTGGCTTTGACATCACGAAGCACCACTGCTGACCAATCCCTGGGCTTGTGGGGGAGGGGTGACAGGGATGTAGAGGAAACCAAATGCTGTTGTTGTTTCAGCATCCCCTGAAGATGCATCCCAAACCGATCTGCCGCCGCTCCTCATTTCTCCATGTTTAATGTTCATGGTTCACATGGAAGTCAGAGGATGATTCCTTCAAGCCCTTCCCCACAGCCATTCCTATGAAGTGATTCATTCTTTTGTCTTCCAGCCCTCACCATGACTTAGTATTTTAGATGTCTCACCTCAAATCCCCCAAGCTAGTGTGGCTACATGTAATTATTGGTGGAGATGTGAATTATCCCATTTCCCTCCTACAGTTCCTTCACATGCACCTCGAAGACCATTTACTTTTGGGCTACTGCCAGGCAAATTTCAACCCATGTTCTTTTACCCAATGTCCATGTAGTTCTTTTAAGTTTCCTATCTCCAATCTGAAATAATGGCCTTCAGTCTGTCAAAACTTTAGTGAATAAACATTCTTTACCATGTATCCTAGTCTTGTTTCAAATCAGGGGTGTGTGTTCATAGTAAATGTAGTCTCCCAACATGAATTCTGCCAGTATGTGGGTGGGGGAAGGAGTGGATATTCAAGTGCTGGAAGTTGTTCTGAGTATTTACCTGCAGGATACTATAATCTAAGACTAACATGAGGGTACAAGCTTCAAGCCTTGGTGGCTTCAAGCTTCGGTGGCTTCCACATGGTGTTAAGCCTGGAGATGCACTGAGGGTAAGAGTTGAGGCTTGGGCTTGGGAGGCTCTGCCTAGATTTCAGAAGATGTATGGAAATGCCTGGATGTTCAGGCAGAAGTATGCTGCAGGGTTGGATCCCTCATGAAGAACCTCTACTAGGGCAATGTGAAGGGGAAATCTGGGGTTGGAGCCCTGACACAGAATCTCCACTGGTCACTGGAGCTGGAGAGAGATGCTCACAGAATGGGGAGAGACGAAGGTTGCTTAGAATTTCAAGAAAAATAAACAATTGAGGATGTATACAATAACACTGTTTGGCCCTGATTCCTGACAAGGTGTTTGGTAGCAGGAGAAGTCAGAGATCACTCCAGGTTTTAGGACCAGGTCACTTATTGATGATGAGAATATTTTTTAAAATACAGAATCTAGACAACAATTTGGAAGGAAAGGTGAAGGGTGTCATTTTGGCATCTCAGGGTTGAGCTGAAGCTGGGCTGTGCAAATGTAAATGCTGTAGGCAAGAACTGCCACTCAGCTGGAGTTTCATACCGCGGGGGTCCTGGGAGGGATGATATTTTATGTAATGGCATTTTTAAAATTTTTCAAAAGTAGTAAAAGGAGAATATCACTGGGCCAGGAACTGAACTTTGCACAGTGCTTAGCATGAGTAGTGGGAGAGAAAATGATGCTCAGGAGAGGCGATGGAGAACCAGGAACATGAAGTGTCAGGGCAAAGGTCAGAGCAGGAAGGAGTCCTGCGAGCATACCATCCTCTCTTACTCACCCACCCCTGACATTACACAAGTTATCTCCTCTGCCTGGGATACCCTTCTCCCACACTGCATCCCAATCACCAGGATAACGTCTGTTCCTCCATACATCTGCAGCGTAGATGTCATTATTTCCAGACAATCTTCCCTGGACCTCCTCCCTACCACTTACTCACAAATTAATAATAATAGCCATGCCCATGCTGTTCATCTATTGTGTTTGTACAAGTGCACACAAGACTATAAATTGGCTTTGAGATAAGGATGTATATCAGGTCTCTCTCCGTGGCTTGGAAATGTCTGTCTTCTCACCTTGTGTCTTCACATCATCTTCCTTCTATGCATTTCTCTCTGGCCAAATTTAATTTTTTTTATTTTTATATATTTTTTTGAGACAGTCTCACTGTGTCACCCAGGCTGGAGTGCAGTGGCACGATCTCGGCTCACTGCAACCTCCGCCTCCCAGGTTCAAGAGATTCTCCTGCCTCAGCCTCCCGAGTAGCTGGGATTATAGGTGCCCACGACCACACTCAGCTAATTTTTGTATTTTTACTAGACACAGGGTTTCATCATGTTAGTCAGGCTGATCTCGAACTCCTGACCTCAGGTGATCTGCCCACCTCAGCCTCCCCAAGTGCAGGGATTACAGGCGTGAGACACTGCGCCCGGCCCCAAATTTCCATTTTCTATAAGGACACCCATCACATTGGATCTCATTTAACATGATTAACTCTGTAAAGCAGAGGTTTCCAACCTCCAGGCCATGGACCAGACCGGTTCGTGGCCTGTTAGAAACTAGGCCGCAGAGCAGGAGGTGAGTGTTTGGTGAGTGAGCTTACCAGTGGCATTAGATTCTCACAGGAGCATGAAATCTATTGTGAACTGCACATGCGAGGAATCTAGACTGTGTTCTCTTTATGAGACTCTAACTAATGCTTGATGATCTGAGGTGGAACAGTTTCATCCTGAAACCATTTTCCCACATGTCCGTGAAAATGTTGTCTCTCACAAAACCGGTCCCTGGTGTCAAAAATGTTGGGAATCACTGCTGTAAAGAATGTATGCCTAAATAAAGACATATTTTGAGGTACCAGGAGTTAAAACTTCAACATATGAATTTTAGTAGACACAATTCAACCCATAACACTGTCTAAACCAGGGGTGTCCAATCTTTTGACTTCCCTGAGCCACATTGGAAGAATTGTCTTGGGCCACACATAAAATACACTAACACTAATGATAGCTGATGAGCTTTAAAATAATAATCAAAAGAAAACCTCATAATGTTTTAAGAAAGTTTACAAATTTGTGTTGGGCCACATTCAAAGCTGTCCTGGGCCACACGTGGCCCATGGGCTGCAGGTTGGACAAGGTTGGTCTAAACCTACCTTTATTGCCTACAAACATAGCGACAACAAGACATGTGTGATGATGATCTACACCCAGGCCTGAAATCCTCTGCATTTTATGTGAAATAAAGATAGAGAACACTGGAGTAGCCTCATCCATACACAATGAGCAAACACAAAACTAAAGGAGTCTTGGCACTGCAGCCTCTTCTATAAATGCACGCATGCAATAGACTCATTCCTGACTTCATCCATTACTCAATTCACAGAGTTAGTCATTTACCGGTAGTGGAGAACCAGAAGAAATTCAGGGTAAGTGAAGACCTCAACTACTGCCTAATAGATCAGCTCACAGGAAGCCACAGCCAGGCATAAAAAGAGTAGAGTCGGCCGGGCGCAGTGGCTCATGCCTGTAATCCCAGCACTTTGGGAGGCCGAGGTGGGTGGATCACGAGCTCAGGAGTGTGAGACCAGCCTGACCAACATGGTGAAACCCCGTCTCTACTAAAAATATAAATATTAGCCAGGCGTGGTTGTGCGCACCTGTAATCTCAGCTACTCAGGAGGCTGAGTCAGGAGAATCACTTGAACCCGGGAGATGGAACTTGCAGTGAGCCGAGATCACACCACTGCACTCCAGCCTGGGCGACAGAGCGAGACTCCGTCTCAAAAAAAAAAAAAAAAAAGGAAAAGAAAAAAAGAAAGAGTAGAGTCAGGCTGATCTTGCACAAGTCACTTCATGTCTTTAGCCCCAGTTTCTCATGAGTAAAACGGAGATGAGAATAACTGTACTACCACGCTGAGCTGTTCTGAGGATTGAATAAGATGTGAAACAAAACTTTGCATCATGGTGCCTGAAATATAGTAAGCAGTCAATAAATGTTAAAAGTATGTAGTCCATGGCCGGGTATGAGGTAAACTTTCATCCTACAAGGTTCACTAAATTTACAAATGATAACCAGATGGTCACCATTTACTTTATTTAGCGTTCTCTGAAGACCAAAACGTTAGTCCGCTTCCATTACAGATTTCTAATGTGTTAAAATAGTTTCCCACTGATGATTCCAAGTTTCATAGGAGGCTTTCTTTGAGATCGGAAATACAGAAGAGATTATTCTAAACATATATAAATGGTACAGACAAGGGTAATTGTTTCCATAGAAACAAGGGCCATGTGAAAATGCTCAGCAAACTTCCACTCCATGGAAGTAGCCTCGCCTCCTCCCACTCTTCTCCTCAGCCCAAGTTTTTTGCTTCATGGTTTTCAGAGATTGAAAAACCCAACAACGTATTTTGAATATGTACCACAAAAAACATATTTTAAAAGACAGGTACTGCCAGCCTAAGGTTTTAAATTGGTATCAATCATTTCTTCAGATTAATGGAGTTGTCAAAGTGTGAAATGTATGTGTGTGGTGGGAGGCAACATTAATGGGTTGTAATTCCAAATATCTGTTAAAAGAATCCTTGATTTCATTGAGGATAAGAAATAATAATCCCAGCACTTTGGGAGGCCGAGGCGGGCGGATCACGAGGTCAGGAAATCGAGACCATCCTGGCCAACATGGTGAAACCCCATCTCTACTAAAAATACAAAAATTAGCTGGGCATGGTGGCACGCACCTGTAGCCCCAGCTACTCGGGATGCTGAGGCAGGAGAATTGCTTGAACCCGGGAGGCGGAGGTTGCAGTGCGCCGAGATGGCGCCATTGCACTCCAGCCTGGCGACAGCGCGAGACTCTGTCTAAAAAAAAAAAAAAAAAAAAAAAAGAAAAGAAAGAAACTGTGGAGTATTTTATTAAACTATAGAGTTACATTGATTAGAGGTAGTACACTATCAAAACATTTGCCTTGAGCCTTCCAGCACTAGAAATGTCTTTGCGAGAACAAACTTCCCTGTCGTCTGCTGCCACAACTCAGGAATACCCAGCAAATAGTGGATAAACTGAATAAAACTGAATTTGGTGAATCTCTTTACCAAAACTGAAACCTCAGCATCTTTGATCTCTTCCTTTCTCTAAAAAATGTAATGAGAGTCAGCCAATTCCGCCATTAAACTATCTTTGGAATCTTGCCAATCATTTTTGTTTTCATTGCTGCAGCCAATGTTTCAGGCTCTTACAACTCACATTTGTCCTTGCAATCATTTGGTACTAGAGATAAAATGAAATCTGAACTTTCTGGCGTGGCATTCCAAGGCTCTCTACATTGGAGCACCAAGCTGTCTACCACCAGCCCCGTATGCCCTTGGGGGATGAAACTCCTGGAGCACAAGTTTATCCATAAGACAAAACGGCACATGTACCCCTGAACTTAATATAAAAGTGAAATAAATAAAACAGATTTAACTACCCTAAAATCTACCCCTTAAAGTTTACACTTCATTGGTTTTGAGTTTGTTTACAGGGTGGTGCAATCATTACCACTATCTCATATCAGGACATTTAGTCACCCCTAAAAGAAACCCTGTACCATTAGCAGTCACTCTCTATCCCCTCTCCCCCAGAACCTAGCAACCACTATTCTACTTTGTATCTCTATGTGTTTGTTTATAATGGACACTTTTATATAAAATAAATGATGCTATGTATACATGCACTTTTTGTGTCTGTCTTCTTTCAGTTACCATAATATTTTCAAATTTTGTTGATGTATCATGTATCAATATTTCATTCCTTCTAATCACTGAATACTATTTCCTTGTATGAATATGCCATATTTTGTTTTTTCACTCATATGTTCATGGTCATGTAAATTATTCCCACTTTTTGGCTATTATGAGTAGTGCTCCCATATATACTCATGCACAAGTTTTTGTTTGCTCATATATTTTTTCTTCTTTTGGGTATATATCTAGGTAGAATTGCTGGTCATACGGTAACTCCATGTTTAACATTTTTAAGAACTATGAGACTTTGTTTATAAGTGGCTGTAATATTTTACATTCCCACCAGCAACATTTCCTTCATGTCTTCTCAAAGAATTACTATTGTCTGGTATTTGTTTGTTGGTTTGTTTGAATTTTGTAGCGATTCTCTTGGGTGTGAAATGATAATTCATTGTGGTTTGCATTCTAACACCTATTATGGTGAGCATCATTTCATGTACTTATTGCCTATTTGGAGAAATGGCTATTCAAGTACTTTTCTTATTTTTTTTTTAAATGAGTTGTTTTCTCTACTGTCAAGTTGCAAAGGCTCTTTATATAATCTAGATAATAGGTCCTTATCAGATAAATTACTTACAATTTTTTTTTCTTTTTCTATGGGCTGTCTTTTCACTTTTGTATAGTGTCCTTTGAACCAAAAAATATCTTAATTTTGATGAAGTCCAATTTATCTACTTATTTCTTTGGTTGCTTATGCTTTATGTGTCATAATAAGTAAGCTTTGCTACAGTAGGTTACTCTCTCCTCCTGTGAACACTTTATTCAGTTGGCCTCTGTATTAGTCCGTTCTCACACTACTGTAAAGAAACAACCTAACCTTGGGTAATTTATAAAGAAAAGAGGTTTAATTGGCTCATAGTTCTGCAGGCTGTACAGGAAGCATGGCAGCATCTGCTTCCGGCAAGGCCTCAGGGAACTTTAACTCATGGCAAGAGGCAAAGCAGGAGAAGTCATCTTACATGTCAGGAGCAGGACCAAGAGAAAGCCAAAAGGGAGGTGCTGCACACTTTTTAACAAACAGATCTCATGAGAACTCACTCACTATCACAAGAACAGCACTAAGGGAATGGTGCTAAACCTTCATGAGAATTCCACCCCCATGATCCAACCACCTCCCACCAGGTCCCACCTCCAACACTGGGGACTACAATTCAACTTGAGATTTGGGTGGGGACGCAGATCCAAACCATATCGGCTACCTAGGCACAATTTTCTGAGTTTTCTGCTTAAGTCACTGGTTCCTATGCAGTCCCTTTAGCTGGTTCTTCTCTTCCTTGTGTCTAAGTTCCTCTTTGCTTTATGGACATGCACATACTCCCTAAATGAATATTTCCAGTCTAATGGTGTTATGTACAATCTGTATACTAATAACATCTAAGTTTATATTTCCAGTTTAGACCTCCTTTCTGACCTCCAGAGAACATAATTGCCTACTCAGCGTCTCCATTTGTATGTCTAACAATAATACCAAGTTTAACTGATCTCCTAACCAATACCACATTTTTCTTGAAATGGAAATCTCCTCATTTCAATAAATGGACATCTTATTCATCAGGAAATCCTATAGGCATGCTTTCTAAAAATATATTCAAAATAACCATTTTAACTGGTAAGTCAGAAAATGACATACACTGTGGCTCCAAACCTCAGTAGCTCCCCTATTGATCTTGGATTAAAAGCCGGTCACTGTAATAACTTCCAAAGCCCTACATTATCTCTCTGATTTCATCCCTAAAGACTCTTCCTGGGTCACAGCGCTGTAGCCACACTGGCCTCCCTGATGTTCCTAGAACTGACCAGCCGCTCTTCTATATTACGGCATTCTCACAGGATGTTCCTTAGGTCTGTTCTTCTATGTAAGTTTCTATGATGCCTTTCTCACATCCTTCATATATTCTAGCAGT
Organism: Homo sapiens; assembly: GCF_000001405.40. NCBI lineage: Eukaryota > Metazoa > Chordata > Mammalia > Primates > Hominidae > Homo > Homo sapiens. The sequence goes on along the minus strand of NC_000023.11, from coordinate 145,239,964 downwards.
TTCTTCAGAAAACACCTTCTCATTGAAGACCTTCTTGACCACTTTAGTTTTGCAACCGGTCCCCACACCAGAACTCCAGAACCCCTTTAACCTGGATGTGTATTTTCGCCCTCAACCTTTATATTTTATGACTTCCCAACAGTGCTTACATCTCTGCCCTCTCCCTGCACTTAGAATGCAAGTCCCATGATGATGAGTATTATTATTATTTTTTGCTTAATGATGACAGACTATTGACACCAATAAATATTTATTGAATGAGTACCAAGTGGCACTGTATAGCTAAATAATTAAAGCAATTGAACATCTAGTTTAAGAAGTGACCTGAGGATCACTGTAACAAAACCGAAAACTCAAATGTTGCCAGGACAAATTTCATATTACAAAAAAAAAGGAAAGTGAAAAACCTCACCTCTCTAGCATTTACCAAAATAAATTCCATATGGGTTAGAGAGTTGATGTATAAAATGCAAACCATAAAATCTCCCCCACTGATCTGGGGAGAAACCTATTTTATCTTTTTTAAGCAAGAAAAACAAATTGCAGACCAGGTGCAGTGGCTCATGCCTGTAATCCCAGCACTTTGGGAGGCCAAGGTGGACAGAGTGCATGAGCCAAGGAATTTAAGACCAGCCTGGAAAATACGGCAAAACCACATCTCTACTACAAATACCAAAAAGTTAGTTAGGCGTGATGATATGCACCTCTAGTCCCAGATACTCGGAGGCCTAGGTGGGAGGATCACTTGAGCCCAGGAATTTGAGGCTGCAGTGAGTTATGGTCATGCCACTGCACTCCAGCCTGGATGATGGGAATCAGACCCTATCTCAAAAAAACAATGCAGAAAACTGCTTTTGTATGATGAGCTCATATTTGCACAAACAAATAAGGGGAAAAAAGCCTCCCATGTGCATATGGGAGTTAGTAGATGATTGTGTTAGCAAGGACAACAGTGTGGAGGGACAAGTTGGGGGTTTTTGTAATGGTTGAGTCAGGGTATGGGGATGGACTACAAACTTTCCTCTTTATATAGTTGAGCATTGTCTCAAATATTAGAATAAGCAAGTCGTATCTTTCAATAAACTTTTCATACAATTTTTTTAAATTAAAGTGAACTTACCTCCTACCACTTACGTGTCCTGTGACATTTAACAATGTCTGCAAGTTTCAAGCTTCCTAAGCTGTAAATCAGGGAAAATTCATGCCATTAAGCCTGGTAATGACAATCATGATAATGACAATTACTAACATTTCCTGAGTTTTCACTGACATTTCAGGCAGCACACTAAGAGCTTTTATTGAATTCTACTCATTTAATCTGCATAATGAACTAATGACTGGTAATATTATTACTTTTACCTCGAAAATCCATCAACACGAGTAAATGCGCACCACACGGAAGTACTCCTGTAAACTGAACAAAACTTAGCAATAGAAGCAATTACATTATTTTAATGTGCTGTCACACATCTAACAAAACAAATTATTTAATTAAAGTTAGTTTAGTTCTTGAGATCTTACATACCTGGCTCTCAGAATATGAACATTATGAACAACCCAATACATTAGCTAGACTTAACCACTACCGTAATATCACCATGTTGTCCAGTATGATAGCTATTAGTCACATATATCTATCAGCCCTTAAAATGTGCTTTGTCCAAATGAAGATGTGCTTCAGGTGTGAAATACACACCACCACTTGCTGGGCATTTGGTATGAAAAAATAAAGTGAAATATCTCATTAACATGTTTGTTACATTGATTACATGTTGAAATTATACCATTTTCATGCATCTAACTAAATAAAACATATTACTAATATTTCCACATCTTTTTTATTTTTAAAATATGGCTACTAGAAAATTTAAAATTACATATGTCGCTAACATTGTGTTTCTTTTGGCTAGTGGTGCTTTACAACTTGTTCCTAGTGAGCTTTCATGTGGGTACTAGGGCATCACTAATTAGTCTGCATTCAAGGCCTTGCAAAATATTACCTGAGGGCCCACTTATCAGAAAAAGGTTGAAAAAAACTTGGAGTAAAAGGATTGGTTGAAGTGGTGGCATTGAACGTAGGCTGTAAACTCAAAAGCAAGGAAACTGAAAAACTTTTCAGTTTCATGATCCATCGAGAGCTTTAACGAATGTGATGATCCAGTATTTCTTGGCTATGATATTGGAATACATCTAACACACATGTAACATTACCAATATAGAACATTCAATAGCATTCATAGAAAATCTGTGAGCACTACTGGCAAGACATTTCTGAAAGTTTGGCAGAAAAATGAGCAATTTACATTTAGATCTATAGTTTTCTTGTATTCCAGCAGTTATCAACTATAATATACAAATATACAAATGTAAAAACACCACTCAGAATAAATTTTTCATTAATATTTCAAGAAACTTATTGAGAAAAATTCCAAGGTTTACAAAAAAGATGTATTGAATAAATAAGTGAGCATTTTCAATACCAGATACTAGATTCTGGTCAATATACTATAGAAGATATTGACTCAAGACTTCCAGAGATCGCCACACTGACTTCCACAATGGTTGAACTAGTTTACAGTCCCACCAACAGCGTAAAAGTGTTCCTACTTCTCCACATCCTCTCCAGCACCTGTTGTTTCCTGACTTTTTAATGGTCGCCATTCTAACTGGTGTGAGATGGTATCTCATTGTGGTTTTGATTTGCATTTCTCTGATGGCCAGTGATGATGAGCATTTTTTCATGTGTTTTTTGGCTGCATAAATGTCTTCTTTTGAGAAGTGTCTGTTCATATCCTTCGCCCACTTTTTGATGGGGTTGTGGCACATATACACCGTGGAATACTATGCAGCCATAAAAAATGATGAGTTCATGTCCTTTGTAGGGACATGGATGAAACTGGAAACCATCATTCTCAGCAAACTATCGCAAGGACAAGAAACCAAACACCACATGTTCTCACTCATAGGTGGGAATTCAACAATGAGAACACATGGACACAGGAAGGGGAACATCACACACCGGGAACTGTTGTGGGGTGGGGGGAGGGGGGAGGGATAGCATTAGGAGATATACCTAATGCTAAATGACGAGTTAATGGGTGCAGCACACCAACATGGCACATGTATACATATGTAACTAACCTGCACGTTGTGCACATGTACTCTAAAACTTAAAGTATAATAATAATAAAATAAAATAAAAAAAGACTTCCAGAGGTCATCAGAACAGAACTGCCATGACTCCAGTGCTCCTGTTACCGGTTACTCTCAAATTAAATGCTAGATTTGGAGTCAGTATGTTTAAAACAATTGTTGGATCAAACAATATTAAAGCTCATCTGCAACCAATAAATTAGTGAGAAAATTCATGAAATTAACCACAAAAGATAAGTAATGAGGGATACTTGCCAGACAAATTGTTGTAAAATGACAGTATGAAAAATGCCATCAGGGAGCCTTCGGTATTGACACAGATCAAAAGATGAGAACCAAGAGCTCTTATGACAAACTGCATATTTGTAGACGAGTCTTGGGAAAAGCAGTTAATTCTTGCATCTCACCAAAATTCTCCTCCCCCAAAAAATCCAAAAACTTTCCTGGAAATAAAAATCCAAACAAATCCGGTGCCAGATTATGATTTGGACATTAAAACATGAAATATAAAAACCTCTCCCTAAAGGGATTACTCTACCTCCTAAGCGATCAGAGTATGAACTGCATGTGGACCAAGGAAGAAATCGAGCCCTGCCCATCTGTCCTCTGAGCTGCGGGGCAGGGGTCAGGAGTGAGGGAGGCTACCCAAGATAAGGTGGACCTTAAAACTGGTTTTTCAGGGGGGCAGCCTTGGAGGGCCGGTCCAGGGAACTCCACGTGATTTCTGCTTGTACATCTTTGCAGCATTTCACCGGTTAGGATGAACAAGTGATACTTCTGTAAGTAAAATATCAATTAAAAAACTGATCAAAATAAATATTAACTCATGTGTGTGCTCCTACGAAGTCCCTCAATTTCTCTGTCTCAAAAGCTCCCATCTGTAACAATCAGATAATTCCTGTTCTTTGAATACAATAATGATTTACTGAGAGCTGTGTAGAGCCCTTATAAATAAATCTATAAAACAATAATGAGGAATAGAACAAAACCTTGCACCAAAGGATATACCCACATATCTGCATGGCAAGATACTGTACTGCAAAATGTTGGTTTTTATCTCGGTGGTGGTTTCCGGAAACTGCATTAAAAACCCCAAAGCCGTGACACTCTGGGGCACTGCTGTCCAAGAGAGATTTCTGCAATGACTTCTGCAATGATGGAAATGCTTTACATGCAATTGCCCATGTGACAGACACTGGCCACTTGTGGCTACTAAACTCTTGAGATGGGACTGGATTGTATTTAATTTAAAACAAATCCAAATTTAAATGGTCACATGTGGTCAGTTCAGCTTTAGGCAATTCATTCATGAAATAAAGAGTAATGACATATTTCTCATAATAGATACTGAAAGGGAATTATAGCACTACCAAATTAAAACTGTATGGTTTTTTTTTCTTTTTCTCAAGAATGAACAGAGTTGAAACAGGTACTGTACTAAGGTCAAATGCTGCTGGGAAAATTAGATATTTGTGAAAAAATTAAACTGTTAAATCAGCACTTCAAAATTTACACTCAATAAAGCTTACACGAGTTATGAGTTGGAATTTTAAAATGTAATACAAGATAAATCTATGGATGTGGAAAACCCTGGAAAGACATATTTGGCATATTTTAAGTGAGAAAACATTAGAAAAATTAAAATGCATAGCATGCTGGCTGTTTTCAAAAAGGAAATAATTTCGAAAGGTTACCTGTATATTGACAGAGGGAACTCTCTGCCTGAGCTGAATGTGCAGAAGTGCGGGTAAACATGCCCTGCCCTCGAGAGTATAGTTGGAGCAGCGCAGTTGGCCTGCGGGGTGGCAGAGTTAGGGGATGTGGGTGTGCATATGGATATATTTAAGTGGCTTTGTATCTATCTTATCAGGGCTGCCAACAATGGATGCCTTAAGGGTAAGTGGGGGTGGCGGATGGGGGGAGAACGGGTTCCAGAGATCCTCTTTGTCTCTTGAAATATCTTTGCTTTCCTTCCTCCAGTCACTTGAACATGCATAACTCCTCTAATCAATACATTTTATTTCTAAAACTTCAAGGAAATGCTCATCTTTCATTTGGTCTACTACCCTTAACTTCAATTTTTCACGTATTCAGGAAGAAAATGATATCTTCTAGTGAGAACAATTGCAATAGTGAGGATTTATTGAGCATTTTGTCCAGGCCAGGTACTGAACTGTGGCCACATGAAGATTCTCTCCTCAAATCTTCACAGCAGCCCATGTGGCAGATGTATTAATTGCTCCATCTCCCTTGCCAAGTAGTCACACAGGTCAAGCATGAATCCACTGGAAAATACTCTGATAAACTGCAAATTAGCCCTGCATGCTAAGAGGTTATGTTACAAAACATGATTCCAACTCTACAGCCCACATCTCCTGGTAGCACGTTGCTTTGCTATCTAATGTCCAAATACTTTCCACTTTGTGAGTGAGTGCAGGGAACTTCTCTAATTGCTATGATTTTAGCGCCTTGCAGACACTGTTGGCATTTGCTATAATCAAAATATCTCAGAGCATTTGGGGTTTCATTTAGGCAATTACCCCACCCCCCGGCCCCTCACCACCAAAAAAAAAAAAAAATGCTGTCTGACTCATGCTAAATGGCCATGTGTATGAAGCGTATATGAGGATGTGGTGAGTGCTTTTTACAAAATCTTTTTTTAAATTGTTAAACGTATGGTATTCACTTGATTTATATCCTTAGAAATCCAAAGTTAATAAATTTAAAACTATGAAAACCACTAAAACAGTTTATTCTGGTGAGTATAAATAAATAATCTATATCTATACCTATATATACATGCAAACATGTCCTAAAGACAAGCAGTGATTTTAGAAAATGTGGTCAAGTCATTCATGAAAAAGAACAAAAATGCACCGGAATAAACAAACATCAAGAATCATTCCACATGTATAAGGAGAAATCACAAATATTTCCTTAAGGCATAGGAAAAGAAAGTTGAATGAATATATATAAATACACATATTACTGAAAGGGAATATTTGGTATTTGTAATGAGTTTTTGTTCCCCAAATTCAATGTATGTTTTATGGTAATTGCATTTAAAAAATCCTTGCTAAGTTTTTTTATTACATGAATTTAGCAAAGTGATGTTAAATTCATCCAGGAGTACACCCAGGTACATATTATAATAAAATATGAAAAAGTGAGACTAATGAAGGATACCAGGCACTAATTGGCATTTTATGGTCAGAATAATTAGCCCAGGGTGGTCCGGGCTCACACACTGACAGGTCCACCGAACTATGTTAATGAAGGAAATGCTGGGGAGGTGTCACAGCACAGTGTCACTTTACACACCATGCAACCAGATGATACCGTAGAATAACTTAAACAATTTCATTTAGAAATTTATGAAACCACTAACACTTCGACACGTATTTCTACAAAGCAGCTTTGAGTTAGGGAAGAATGTTTCTCTTCAGTGTTCAAAGTACAAAAGCATTTAAGCAAGAGTTGCAGCCAAGGCCGGGCTCGGTGGCTCACGCCTGTAATCCCAGCACTTTGGGAGGCCGAGGAGGGCGGATCACGAGGTCAGGAGGACGCGACCATCCTGGCTAACACGGTGAAACCCCGTCTCTACTAAAAAAATACAAAAAAATATTAGCCGGGCGTGGTGGCGGGCACCTGTAGTCCCAGCTACTCAGGAGGCTGAGGCAGGAGAATGGCGTGAACCCAGGAGGCGGAGCTTGCAGTGAGCAGAGATCGAGCCACTGCACTCCAGCCTGGGTGACTGAGCGAGACTCTGTCTCAAAAAAAAAAAAAAGAGTTGCAGCCAAGCCCTGTGAGATGCAGATCTGTGTGCAGTTATCTCTGCCCCCCTGGAGGATGGCACAGCACTAGGTGATTGATTATGCAAGGGCTTCCTCATCTCATCTTCCCAGCAAGCCTTTGATGCTGATGTAATTATTACAACTAATTCACTGAGGTACAGCACAGATCGAATGAGGAAACCAGGAAACAAGTCAGCACACAAAGTTAAGGATAGTCGTCACATTAACTCCATGTCTCGAAAAATGCATTTGCTGATGATAACTAGACTTCCTATTTGGAATCTCCAGAACTATCAGGATGGGGGCTGTGAGTCAACCTGCTAACTAGCTGGGTTTAACCCTTGTGGTTATACTGCCAAGCAGTCTACCAAAACTATCCTAAGAGTGTGGCTTCCATGTGGCTGCCAGCACAAACCTGGGCAGCAAAGTCATATGTAACTGGTTACCTGAAGATGCAGATGACATCACAGAGCTAATGAGGTCACTGTCCAGGGAGGAAAGGTCCCCAAAGCAAGAGGCCCCCTTGTTCTAGATGAAAATGTCTAGCACTTAAAGAATACAATGTGCTTTTAAAGTTATGCTGCATCAAATCTACAGACAGCATTATCTGTTTTAGACCCTGAGGATACCACAGTAAATAAATAGAAAACGTTTTAATATAATGTTTACTAAAATATATGACATGTCTGACAAGAAGTAAATGTTATATGTTTCTTAAGTGCAATAAATATATAAGCTGTATAAAAAAATTAGTACTTGTAGACCAGCAAAAATCCATCAGAAAATAAAATGGAAAAAAACAAAGCAATGTGTGACAGTGATAAAATCAAAATGCCTAGAATGAACTATTCGGTGACATTTGTTAATGAATTATATATAAGAAAAAAATTAAAATTTACTCTAGAATCCAAGAGAAGACTTGAGTAAATGGATATTTATTCCAGGAATTTTCCTAAAAGGAAAACCTAAAACTAGAAAGATGTTGACTTTTTAAAAATTTGTTTTTGAGTTGCAAAAGAATGTTTCTCTAGTCCCAGTGGAACTCTTTTGAGGGGAGTTTGACAAGGAGATTTTAGGCCATCCACAAGACAAGTAAGAATAGCTGGGGGAGGGGCGAGGAAGAAATACACCTTAATGAATCCACTGGAATTACATGGCAATAACAATGAACCCCTTGCAGTCTCTGCCCAGGACTTCACACATGATGGAGCAGGAATAACTAAGGTAATTAATTTGGATATGTGAGGAACAATAATTTGTTAGAGCATGTCTTTACCCAGACCCAAAAAGACTTTCAAAATGGATTACAGAATTAGATTTTGAAGACATGAAACCACAATCATCTATGGACACAAAACATTCTCCACGACTTACTATTCAATTAGACCAGCAAGTTGAAGAGGAATCCACATAAAATAGCCCCATTTCTGTACATCCAATGAAGACCAAGCCTTCTTCCAAGACGTTTGAGCCTTCATTTATGTTTCAGTATTCTCCTTGAAGAAGATGATTAGGGAAAGCCTTGTGTCAAGTATTAAAACTGTTCACCTCAGTAGAGTAGAAATGAAGGTCAGGTGGGTGAGGAGATTACAAATTTTTTCTTTACGCATCTTTGCTGCAAGATCTTTTTGTTTATGCATCTTTGATTCTATCTGCTGCAATTCAATTGTACTATTTTTCTAACACATTTCAGTAGATACTTTTTGAATGATTGGTAATATGGCAACCCAAGGCATGAACTTCTTTAAGCCTCAAATTCTAGGTTCTGTGCAACAAAGATCCTACCTGCTCTTAGGAGTAACAGCAAAACATGCATTCTCACTAAACATATCCCAAGTCCATGTGCATAAGGCAGATAGAGCCCCTGCTGCTGTTTTGTCATTACTGTGACGGCAGTCCTGTGAAAACACAGTGTCATTATTTCAAGAAATGACACTTCAGAGAGGGCATTGAGCAAAATAGTGCAGCATAGACTTTGAAGCCAGAAGCCAGAATCCAGGACTAAATCCACTCCTTGCCCCCACTCATTTGCTCAGTGATATTAGGCAAGATGGCTGAATTCTCTGTAACTCAGTTTCTTCATGTGTAAAATAAGTACAATAATATACCAACACCTCAGAGCACTGTTGTAAAGGCATGGGTTGATGTATGTATGTATGGGATGAGGTATGTAAACCACTGAGAACAGTGTTAGGTGTGTGATTCACGTCATGAAGGGTGTGTTAATATCATACTACCGCACGGATTTGCTGGCAGGAGCAAATGAAGTAACATATTTGAAAAATTCTTATAAACTGTAAATCTACACATACTATTGCTGATATTGTCTATTGAAGAAGGTACAGGGTGTGGTTTGTTTTTAATTACTGTATCAAAAAAATAAAAATTAAGTCAAAACTTACTAACAGGTTTCTATTCAACAACTTATAATTCAGACCCTATTATCTGAATTTTTTTCTTTTATTAATATTTATTTTTGAAGGAAGAACAACACTGGGATGAATATGAATTATAAACACTTTATTAAAAAACTTTGTACCTCTCTGTTATAACCTTTATATAGGAAATCCACTTGAATAGCCTGAACAAAGAGAACCTACAATTTTAGTCTGATACTTCTTTAGCCTTTTCAGTCACCGAATGGAGAAGTGATTGGACTAGGTCAAACAGAGCTTTAGTAAAGCTCTGCTACTCTACAAAATAGCTATGTGTGCATCTTTGTATGTGTCAGTGTAGGTGTTTGTCTGGCAGTGTCACTTACTGGATTATTTCTTGCTCTGTCACCTGCACCCTTTGTCTGTTTTTTTATACATTTATTTGACTACTAAACATTTTAACTGGAGGACTATTAGCCTCTGGTGGGACACAAGTATTTGAGGCACCGCAAGTTAGAAAAGTCTCAGTCAATGTTTTAGTTTTTGTGTTTTTTAACACAAAACTCAATATTCATCTCAATTAATAAGTCCATAATACAAAGATATTTTTAAAAACTAAATTCTTCCTTTTGATTCCACTTCCTTGAGTTAACGCTAAGGGTTTGATGTATGTCCTTCCACATTTTATTATATGAATACGTAAAATATGTTTTTAAAAACTTTAAATACATTAAATTTAACAGAGCTTAACTGAGCAATAAAGAGGAAGAAAAACAATCTGGGAATGGGGCTGCCCCCAGAATCGGAACAGATTCAGAGAGGCTCTGAGGTCGCCACATGTTTGGATAACAATTATGAACAGAAAAAGCGAAGTGACACAGAAAAGAGAAATGCGGTACAGAAACAGCTGGATTGGTTACAGCCCAGGGTTTTGCCTCATTTGAGCAATGTTTGAATAATTGACCACCTGTGAGTGCCTGCTGTATGGCTGCTGTTATTGGTTGAGACTCAGCAAATCTTACAGAAGCATTCGCCTAAGTTAGGTATTCAGTTTGTTTACATCGTAAGTTAGATTGAGGTTCATATGTAAGAACTCAGTATGCAAGTACGTAGGCTTTTTCCGGCCAAATTTAGTTTTATTTAACACTTAAATATACATATATTAATATAGGTTCCCATTGCCTTTTTAAAAAAACGTTGCTCTGCAACTTAAAACAAAAATCTGCTTTTTGTAAAATAAAACACAGAATCAGCAAACCACACAGAACAAAAGTATGACTTAGTATGGTGGTTGACAAATGTTAGAGTGCATCTGAATCACCTGGAGAGCTCGCTAAAAGGCCCATTGTTGGGCACCATCTTGAGTTCTGATTCAGAAGCCTGGGATGGGGTCTGAAAATGTACATTTCTAACAGTTTCTCAGGGAATGCAGATGTTGTTTACCTGATACCACACTTAGAGAATCTCTAGCTTATTGGATTGATGTAAGATACACACCATTTTAACATTAATGCAGGTGAATAACTAGAACTTTCCAGCTATCCTGGAAGACCCTCCAAATGGCCCATTTCAATTAGAGCCCCTCCTTCTTTCCCAAAAAACCAGTATTCTGACTTCTATAATCATCACTTCCTATTTTTTTTATTTTTATCTCGCAAGTGTGAATTCCTTAGACACTTTGGATTAATCATGTCTACTTCTTCTTCAATTTAATATGTCTTTTAAATTCTTAAAAAGTGTTTATTAAAGAATTCTGGCCATTTGACCTGTAGAGTTTCTCATAATCTGTATCTTGCTCATTTCCTACTCTTGGTATAGTTTAGCATACTCCCTCGCTCTCTATATTTCCTTCAAATTTATAGCTGTATGCAGAGACTGGATCATATTCATATACAGCAGTTTAGCAAGAGTATGGGTGGTTTTGAGTTTCTTCAGCAGGAGGCACATAAAGTCTGGCTTTTGCTCTATTTTTAAATCAGCTTTCTTGAAGTATAATTTACATATAATAAAGTTCACCACGTTTAAATGCAAAACTTAATGAATTTCAGTAAAAACGGAAGAGTCAAAAACTGTAACCACATAGATGGTATGGAGTATTTCCATCACTACAAAAAGTTCCCTTATGTCTTTTTGCAGTCTAAACCTTCTGTCCATTCATCGTCTCCTGAAAATCACTAATTGCTTTCTATCACTGCAGTTCTGACCTTTCTAGAATTTCAAACAAATGGATTCATACAGGAAAAAACATTTGCGTAAGAGGATAGGAAAATGAGAATACAATGAACCTAAATAGAAGAAAGGAGGGAAATAAGATAGTGGTAGAAATCACTAGAAAAAAAAAAAGGTAAAACTCTGAAACAATAGAGATGATTAACAAAGATATAACCTGATCTTTTGAAAGTACAAAATAGATAAACATAGCTCTTACAAGACTGATTCAAGAAAAAAGTTGTAAAATGTAAATACAATTTATAATGAAAATGGTAAATTGTCTACAAATATGTGAGATTAAAAATACTTAGAGAATATTTAGAGCAAGTACCTGTCAAACACTGGAAAAAATAATGAAATTATTAAAATATTGTAAGTAGTAAATTGGCAAAAAAAGAAGTAAAAATCTTAGGTAGACAGAAACCATAAGTAAACTGAAATTACAATAGCAAATTTATTCCTTCTTCCTTTAACCTAAGATTTCTCTAACATTATCCATTTGACGTTTTGGGCTAGATACTTCCTTGTGGGGGTGGGGCTATCCTATACTTTGTAGATGTTGAACAGCATTCCTGGTCACACCTGCTAGCAACCCCACTTACCAGTTGTGACAACCAGACACTGCCAAATGTCCCTTGGGAGGCAAAACTGTCCACCTTCTCTGTTGGGAACCATTGTCTTAAGCCAAAGTCCAAGGCCTATAGAGGTTACACGTAAGTTCCACTAAATTTTAAGAAACAGATCATTTATTTTTATACAAGGTTTTAGAGACAACAGAAAATGAGATAAATTCTGACTCATTTATGGGACTAGGATAACCTTGAATTGTCCAAGGATGGTATAAGATATGATGGAAACCTAAATAAAACATTAGCTTAACCACATCCAACAGAGTATTGAACAGTAATACAACATTGTCTAACACAGTTTATGACAGAAATACAAAGAAGGTTCAAGGACAGGAAATCAGTAACAGATGGAATTCGCTATGCTAATGGACTATAGGAGACCAGAGGATAATCTCAATAGATGCAAAAAAAAATGTAGGATAGTTTGACCCGATATCTAATATTGTTGAATCTATTTTGACACAATCAATGGGAAAAGTTACATATTATACTTCACAATTAGAAGAAACTACTGGCTTCCATTCTAGGAATTTTGGCATACATTTGGCACCAAAATCAAATATGATATAAAATCTAATTTTAATGATTTTTTAGACAAATAATACCTGTAGAGTGTAAAATAAAATCTACATTTATGTATATATATTATGGATAGTATATATGTCATTAAATTAGTGGTATGTAGTTTTAATAACATGTTGATGTACAATAAATATATTGGCTTAAAATAACTTTTTAACATATGCTACGCAAAAACATGGGGGAAAAATGTAAAAAGTTTCTAAGAGAGTGCATAAGATTGTATATTATTATGAAAGTCATAAGCCAAAATACATCAGGAAATGATATTCTAAGGGAGACCATCTCTCAGACAGTCCAAGCACTCAATAAATTTTATGTGGTTAGTTGATATCTTGTATGCAGTCTTTTGCCTTGCTTCTGTTTTAGCATTCCTTCCATCTACCTCTTGTTCCTACATCCTCCAGGGAGGGGAGAGTTAGAGGAGACGGAATTGAAAATTGACTGCAGTGGCTCATGCCTGTAATCCCAACACTTTCAGAGGCTGAGACAGGCAGATCGCTTGAGCGTAGGAGTTTAAGACCAATCTGGCCAACATGGCGAAACCTCATCTCTATAAAAAGTACAAAAATTAGCCAGGCATGATGGCTCATTCCTGTAGTCCCAGCTACTCAGGAGGCTGAGGCTGGAGGATCACTTGAGCCTGGGAAGCAGAGGTTGCAGTATGACTCGATGGCACCGTTTCGCTCCAGCCTGGGAGACACAGCCAGATTCTGTCTCTCTCTCTCTCTCTTTCTCTCTCTCTCTCTCCATATATATATATACATATATATACACTGATTGTTCATATATATGTAAACTGATTGTTCCTACGTCATGAAAGCAGCATTAAACTCTCTAAAATACGGGATTCGGAGAGCTTCTGGATTGGTGAACACATGAAGGTACTTGGATGGTGATGTGCCTGGAGAGGGCATGGAAGCTCTCTGACTCTGTGCCCATTCCTTGCCCTGTCCATGTTTTCCATGAGGCTGCTCCTGAGTTGCATCCTCTATAATAAATCAGTAAATGTAAGCAAATGTTTTCTTGAGTTTTTTGAGTCATTCTAGGAAATTATTAAACCCAAGGAGGAGTTCACGGGAATTCCCAATTGATAGCTCCACATAAGTATGGGAGACCCAGATTTTCCACCGGCATTTAAAACGAATAATCTAAACACTTAAGTTTGCTAAAGGAAAGTGACATCCTACTAATTAAGTTTAATTGAGTTTCAACATCTTGTATTCTTCTCTGTTCCTATTTTTTAGAGCATTTAAGTGAAAATGAATAGATAGATAATAAATAGATATATAGATTGACAGACAGATAGACTGTCCTGAAAAGTTTGCTATGAGTATTCCTAAAGAGCAGTTCATCCAGAAATTACTTAATTATGATTTTGGAGTACGTTAAATACCTTTTGGTTAAATGGTTTCCCTTTTCTGATTGTATTGTTCTTCAGCTCATATTTACGTGTTTGTCTTGTGTAGCACACAGGGATGGTAGAGAGAAGCAGCCTAGGTGGTCACTCAGTAGCAGAGGGAATCAGCTGATTCTCTAATCCGCGAACTTTAACAGTGAAAGCTAGTACTTGTAAACCAAGATGAAGAGCAGTGGGGATTGCACTGCTGGATTTCAAAAAATTAAAAGTTTCAAAATGCTTTTGTTAAGTGGTGGTAATGGCAAAACCATACACCTAAGACACCAAACCCACAGCAAGCAAGTATTTCTCTGGCATGTAATAAATGCATTATTCTGACAGATAGGGTTTGATGAAGGCTCCAGTGCTTTTTAGGAAGATTGGTGTTTTAAACAAAAAAGGAGAACATTCTATCTGTCTTTCTCTCGAAATTTCAGTTTAGAAACACATGGCCATATGGGGAAGGTTCATTTTAAAAGCTGCATGTCTTTTAGTCTAAAGGCTTATTAAAAATAGGTGCCAATCTTGGAAAAGTAAGAGATATACGTAATGGATATATGTCATATATTAACATTCAAATCACTAAGAAAACAACAGCTTCTCTTTGGCATGGATTTGGTGCAAACGAAAAATTTCTGAAGACTCAATAACCTGTGTAAACTTATAATAGATTACATAAAGCGAAAATAATATTCGCTCAACGTCCTATTAACTACCTTACCACAAAATAACTTCTAAAATTAAGTCCTTTTCTTTTGTAAGCAACTTCTCAGAAGCAGATTAATTCCCATAGGAAGCTGTTAAACAGGCGAGCTCCATGAGGCCTGCTAATAAAAAGTGACTCTTTGGTATTTTAACCACATGTCAGTGTTTAAGGAAGCAGAGCTGCCGTGTATCCTTAATATAATCATGGTCACAGAGCTAACATCCCCTGAGCATTGACCCTGGGCAAGGTCCTCTGTTAAATGCTTTATATGAACCTGTGGCGGGTGCTCAGAAAGTATTTTTTGAATTGTGTAAGTATCATATTTAAGCATTTTTACCACCTGAAGGGACACAAATCTAATCACTTATAATAATATATTAATGTAGATATTGATAACAGAAATTTCCAGATCAATCCACTTATGTTCAGAGACATTTTCATGCCCAAGTTTAAGTGGCTTGTAAACTGATTGTCTATTTTACTTTACATTTTATTTTTACCAGCTTTAGTAAGGTATAATTGATGTATAAAGAGCTATACATATTTAATACGTACTGATGAGTTTGTGCATATACAAATACCCATGAAACCGCCACCACGATCAAGGTAATAGCTGTATCTAACACCTCCCAAAGATTCCTGTATCCCTTTTGGTGTTTGTTTTTATTTTTGGTAGGTAAGAACACTTAACGTGAGATTTAAACTCTCAACAAAATGTGAAGGGTACAATACCATATTGTGAACTATAGGCACTATGTTTTACAGCCGATCTGTGGAAATTATTCATCTAAAATAACTGAAATGGTATACGAATTGAAACAATGTGACATAATAAAAATATATTTCTGTCTCTGCCCTTGGTTCCCGACAAAGATCTCCTAAAACCCATGTAATGTCTATAGTAATAAGGGTGCTAGGAGGATCTTTGTTCTGATATTTGATCTTTGACTCTGGTTCCTGACATAGAGCTTCTAATTCGTTGGATTTCCTGATGAAAGAAGCATATTTTGTTCTACTGAGACAATCCTTGGTAGCCTCCTGGATAGAGGCTGTCTGCCAGGTAAATCAAGGCATGATTAGAACATGGCATTTTCAGCCCATTCCCCATCCTCCAGGGAGGGGAGAGTACAGAAGATTGAGTTAAAAATCAATTATGCCTATGTTGTGAAGCCTGCATAAAAATCCCTGAAATATGAGGTTTGGAGAGTTTCTGGGTTGGTGAATGTAGGTAATGGGAGGGCGGTGTTCCCACATCCAATCCCGCTACCTTGCCCTATTCATCTCTTCCATTAGGCTGTTCCAGAGTTGTATGCTTTATGATAAACCATTAAATGTAAGAAAATGTTTTCCTGAGTTTTGTGAGCTATTCTAGCAAATTCTGGAACCTGAGGAGAGATTAGTGAGAACACCTGATTTATAGATGTTCAGTGAGATTTATGAGACGATCTAACTTGCCATTGGCATCTGAAATGGGGTTAGTTTTTGGAACTGAGCCCTTAACTGGTGGGGTTTGCACTGACTCTGAATAGTCAGCATCAGAATTGAGTTAAATTGTAGGATACTGAGTTAATGTTTGCTGTGAATTGAAGAATTAGTTGGTGTCAGTAAAATTCCCTATTGGTGGCTTTAGAAGAGTGATGTGAGTGGAGAAAACAGTGAGTTTTCCCTCTTTTGACAGCCCCTCCCCATTTGCCACCCCCACATCCCCTGGCCACTACTAATATACTCTCTGCTTCCGTGAGTTTCACTCTTATAGATACTGCATATAAATGGAATCATAAAGTATTTGTCCTTCCATACTTGGCTTTTTTCACTTAGCATAATGTCTTCCAGGTTCATCCATGTTGTCACAAATGACGGGATTTAGGCTGAAGAGTATTCCATTGTGTATATATATCACATTATCTTTATCCATTCATCTGTCAATGGACATTGAGTTGTTTCAGTTACCTATTTAAAGCACACGACAACTCCATTAGGCTGGGATTATTATCTCCATCTTATACAAAGGAACTGAAGCTTAGAGAGATTAAGAAACTTGTTTATTCTCCCAGAAAATAAATGACAGAACTGAGATATAAATGGGATGTCTCTGAGGCTAAGGACCATGCTGACATATTCTAGACTACAGAAAGATTTAGTAATGTAGGCCATTGTCTACATGCACACAAACTTACTTTCCCTAAGTTCCCTTTCAATAGCGCCCATAACACTGGGCATCTCTTCTGCCTTTTCTGAAATTCCTACAATGTCTATCTTGTTACAAAACAAATGAGGATGCATTATCTATAGAACACTTCAATTTAAATGTTTGAGTGTTACCTGGGACAACACATTATCCAAGCTCTACCATCAGACAGGCAAGCTACCACATTGGAAAAAAAGGAATGATACACACAATGATACACACATTGCATTTAGGAGTGCAATGTGGATCAAGGGGGATTAAATATAGAGAAGACAATTTAGAACACTCATCTTAAAAGAACTGATGATGGTCTAAGTGCTGTAAAAAGGGAAAGAATGCATAGAAACATTGTGAAAAGAATAATTTATAATGTAATTGTGGGTAATCATGAGTTATCAAACTTCCCCACAGGCTAAATTGACATATGTATGATGGCTGAAACAAAAAAAAATCAGATGTTTTCCTTTAAAAAAAGTAATTTGTTTCTGCTACCTTTGAGGCTAAATAAATAAAATCAGGGGTGACCTTTTTATAAAGTTATCCATACCATTTATCTTAAAGATGGTCTCCATTGGGAGAAAAAAAAAGATTGAATCCATCATATTTTTATCTATTGCTTTTTCTGTGCATAAGTCACACATTTGTATATCAAGTGTATACATATTGGTTGTACCTTGACCTTAACAACTTCTCATTTAGTTGTATACCATCGCCCGCCATGATAGATGTTACAGCTAAGGGTCTAGCCGCAATTTCATTATAGACCCCACTTTGCAGGGTTTCATAAATAAGCAGTCAAAATCTGCTGCAGGCTATGTAATGTTTTAGTTTGCATATCTGTATTATCATTTTAGTTCCATATTGCGGTTTCCATCCATCAACTATAGAGTCATTTTTCATTTTCAGAGGCAGTTCTTACAGGAAATCATCTTAATGACCATCAAGTGAAGAGGAAATTTGCAAAGAGTAGGAAAAATATTAAATTTCATTCCACCCCACCAAAATAAATAAATAAACAAATAAGTATATAAATGGAATGACTGAATAATGCACATTCTACTCTGTGCTATACGGTACACACTTGAGGTTTATAGACGCTTATATAGAATTAATTAACAAGCATGTAAATCGAGTGTTTGTTAATGGCCAAGAACAATAAATATATGATTAATGAATAAATGACAAGTAGGTTAAATATTGTGGAAGATAAAAGTTTTAAGAATATGCCCACACTCTCAACCAGCTTGCAATCTAAGAGAGAAGACAACTCACTCATATACAATACATTCCTATTCATAATAATCCTGCTTTTCTCCTGTCCTGCTTGAATCAAAGTCTCTTTCCTTGTATTTACCACATATGCATATTTTAGCAAGTCTTTAGTTCTCTACGTTTCTGGATCTTTATCGACACAATGTGAAACAATTATGCATATTTATATTTATATATTGTATATTTATAGTATATTTATAGAGTTGTTATGAAAATTCAGTGAGTACAATGTGCATAAGACTTCCTGTGTGTACTCTAAAATAAAAAGGGATGCATCTATACAAAATAAAGGTGATATATTTGGGGTAGTAATAATAGTAAAAAATAACAGTCTGTTGAACTTATATGGTTAATATAATATTACAATGCTTCTATTGATAATTGTAGTGGGTTAAATAGTGTTCACCCAAAATTCATTACTACCCAGAACCTCAGAATTTAATCCTATTTGGAAATAGGGTCTTTGGAGATGTAATTAATAAAGAATCTTGAGGTAAAAATCTAATTAGTTAAGGATCTTGTGTTAAAATCATCCTGGATTTAAAGTGGGCCCTACATTTAATGACTGGCATCTTTATAAGAGAAAGGAGACGGAAATTTTGACAGAGACACAAAGAAGAAGGCCATGCAAAGACGGAGGCAGAGATTGGAGTGATTTGACTCCAAGACGAAGAATGTCAAGAATTGCTGGAAACCACCAGAAGCTGGAAGAGGCAAGAAAGGAGTTGTTTCTAGAGCCTTCAGAGGGAATGTGGCCCTGCCTACATCTTTATTTCAGACTTCTAGCCTACAGGACTTGAAATAATACATTTCTATTGTTTTAAGCGCCCAGTTGTGATAATTTAATATAGCAACTTTAGGAAATTAATACATGTAGGAGGTCTACTTATTTTTGTAAATATACATTGTTCAGTGGATGGAAAATATCCTGGAATACCCACCTTAATGGATCTTCTTGAATTATCTGAGGGCCAGGACTAGGCTCTGACTTCAAATATGGATTTTGTGCTACAAGCATCACCAACCACCGCGATCCCTTCCCACATATTATACCTGATTGCTGAATTTCATATATTTGGTACAAAGTACTGTATGTCTTTGTTAGAATGGAGGATAACTATGAGACCTGTGTTGGTTAGAATGGAGGATAACTATAGTGTCACAGGAAAAAAAAAAACTGTATTCTGAGTCAGAGACAGAAAAAAACCACACTGCTTGTGAAAATGTGAAGAGAGGTAAGTCACTTACATTACTTTGGCCTTGTTTTTATCATCTAGAAACGAGTAATTTTTGATTCATACATTTTCTCTGGAAATCAGCAGGTAAAACGTATGAAAAAGCACACAGCACAATTCCTGGCCTTGCAGCACAGTCGTACAACTTCCGTTCTATTCGCAACATGCCTCACATGTCCTTTTCTTCCGTCTTGCTTTACACGCCCCGGTTTTTCACAGTACAGATACTAAACTTATCATCTTAAGAGGGTGCAGTATTCATTGACTCAGTGACAATTACAGAAAACTAAATTTTGCCAAAAAGCAATAAAACAAATACAATGTCTGGGGGAACGTTGTCATTGTTTGTAAAATGTCATTTTAAATTTCAAGTATATGCCAGGGGGAAATAAAATACAACTGCTCTCCAGCCTCAACCACCATATTTTAGGAACTATTGTCCCAGAATGAATTCTAACATTAATTTGAATTACCTAACACGTTTGCTAAGTATCTGAAAAATAGTATGTATTGCTTGAGGCAAAAAAAAAAAAAAAAGGACTGTTTCTGAACAAGAAAAGAATCTGTGAATCTCTATTCAGTAGATACCTAGAAGAAGTAATTAAGGAACACTATAAGACAATGGTTAAGTATTGTAGGGGGGACATAAATCTTTCCTTCACCTATGCTAGGTTTATGCCTGAAGATCTTATGACAAAAGACAGATTAACAGAAGAAAAGCATAAAAAATTATTTAATATAAAGTTTATGTGACAGAGGAGCCTTTAGAAATGAAAACCTAAAGAAACAGAGGAGCCCGTATATTTTTCTACTTAGGTTTAGGAAAGCGTGGACAGCGTGGAGAAGTATGATTGGGTAAACGGGGTATGATCTAAAGGTAATAAACTGGGAGGAACTTTGCAAGGGCTGTTTAAGATTCGTCTCTGTATCCAATGTCTTCAGAGATAACGATGATCCTTTCTTCTAGTTATAGGGAGAGCACCTCTCAAATGAGCATTTTATAACCTGCTTCAGGGGAGAAGGATGAGGAGAAGGTGACAGAGAGCTTTCTGCTTTTGCAGTTTTCTCAAATGCCAAGGTGACATTTTAGAGTGTAGTGTGTCCTGAACCCAATAGTACTCGGCATTGATCTTTTAGAAACAGCAAAGAAGATGTGTTAGAAATATTTGTTGTGCTTCTTGTTATAGAATTTTAAATCTTCTTTTTAGAAACATGTCTACCTTCTCTTATTATCTTTTCTGTCTCATGTTATGATTCCCCCAACTATCTCCAAGTTGATGTGTATGAAAGGCAAATGATTGCAACAGAAGACGTTTGGAGAAGTAGGAGCTTGTCCCAATAGGATTAAAAAGAAGGTAGAACCATCCTACTTTCTTTGTGTTTATGTGTACAGTTATACATAACAATTATCTTTTGGAAATTCTGAACATCTCTTAGACTCGTTTTCTTGAATTCTTAGCATTAATAATAGATACTGTATGTTTTTTGAGGGAGGAAGGCATAAATTAATAACAGGTAGGAGTGTTCTTTTTTCTTTTTACGTTTGTTTTTCCTGATATATAGCATGAATTTATCTTATCAAATTTGTCAATCCTGAGGAATAACTTTGAGGAAGGTCTTACTGACTGTCTTCTAAAGATATGCATTAGGGGACCTGATAAGCTTTCTGCTAAAAACATACATAAATTGAGCAAAAATATTTGTAAAGTTACAGTTAACCTTAGAAAAAAGTAAGGGATACTCCTAGAGGCCAAAGACAAAGAGGAAGCTAAAGAGGAGCCTGGCAAAGGCGTGGAGAGCTGAAAAAAGAAGCTTGTTGGTCTCTGAGCTTTGCAGGAGAGTGGAGACTTTCTTCCTTTGTGTAACCTGAAGCCTACCCTCAGTGCCTTTCAGATTAAACTGAGACTATATGCAAAACATAGATACCCTGAGCTGAGAAGGTAATATAAAAACTATTACCAGCTTCTATTTGCAAAAATAAATACAAGATATCTTTGGAGGTAAATTCTATCAACTCGAACATTTACAAGACTGTCAAGCATAAAACTGAGGATAAACTCGCAATCCAAATTTCCAGAATCACAATGAAACAATTTAACATGAGAGTCCACTGACATGAGAGATAGCAGGTTTATATTTCCAAAACAGAAAATAAAATGAAAATTCCAAAATGGGTATGTTTAAAATAAATAAGGATATAAATATATGAATCTAAAATATAAGAAAAGAGCAAAATATTATTAAAAATGGATCATACATAGGAAAAAAATCAACAGAACTTCCAGAAATAAAAAGTATTTTCATTGCAGTTAATTCTCAACAAGCTTCCTAGACAAATATCACAAATAAACTCTTGCACATGTGTAGAGGCCTTGGTTTTATCAATACTTCTCCCAGAGATCCAAGGAATAAGTTTGAATATCTCACAAACCCCTAAGTCATTGTAGAATAAAATCCTCAACTCATTTAATAAAACTAACAACATTTTAAAACCAAAAGTTGGCAAGGACAGTATAATAATTAACATTATAGGACAACATTCTCTTGAACATAGATGAAATGACCATTAGCAAAATATTAGCAAAAAAATCCAGTAGTGTTTACCTCAGGAATGTTAAAGATGGTTTTACACAAGAAAATCAATTAGCTTACCATGTTTACTTATTGAAAAAAATTACAACCATCAATAGGTGCAGAAAAAAATTTGATAAAACTCCACATCTACTTTATTTAAAAAGAAAAAAACATCTTTAGCAAAGTAGAAATAGAAGGTGCCTTTACTAGCCTGAAAATTGGCACCTACAAAAATTCACAGCAAGTAGCATATTTAATCATGAAATAATAAAGGCATTCCATTTGAAATCTGGAATGGCAAAAGGTTTCTCACTGCCACTACTTCTCTTCAACACAGTACTTAGTATCTGAGTCAGTGCATTAAGGCAAAATAAAAATATATAAGGATTAGAAAGATGCCTCTCATTATTCCCATAAGATGATCACTTATGTGCAAAATCCAAAATATATGCATATAAATTACTAGGCTTAAGATAATTTTGCAAAGTGGTGGGATGCATAATCAACACACAAAAAATATACTTCTACCCACGAACATTGCAGAATTAGAAAATATAATAAAAATGATACAGTTATAAAAGCATCAACAATAATAAATTATCCAAGAATAAATCTTACCCCAAAAGAGTCTTTAAAGAGAAAATGGTATAATTTTACTAAAAGATATTAGAGAAACCTAAAGAACTGGAGAGATATACGACATTCATGGATTAGAAGGCTCTGCATTATAAAGAAATAAAGCTTCCCCAAATTGATTTATAAAGACAATGAAATTCCAGTCAAAATCCCCACATTATGTTGTGGAACTTGAGAAGCTAAATCTAAAATGTATGTAGAAAATCAAAAGGCCTAGAATAACCAATATGATACTGAAGTAGACACTAATGTATAGGAAGGGATTGCCTTACCAGGTTTTACAAATTTACATGAAGCTATGGCAATGAAAATACTGTAGGGTATTGGTACAGAAAGAGTCAAATAGACCACTGTTGTGGAGAAGACAGATAGAGTCACACATATTTGGAAACTTGAATTATGGCAGAGGTGGCTATGCAAATAATCTGGGAAAGGAAGACTCATCAATAAATACGGATGGGACAAATGTTTATTCATATTTAATAAGTGAAATTAGATATCTACCTAAAAACAGAAACAAAAATCAAATTCAGGTAAATTAAATATTTAAATATGAACTGAAAACATTTTAAACTGTTAGGAATAAATGTAATAACATTAGGTCTTTGGGGTAAGAAACTATCTCTTAAACAAGACATAGAAAGCACAACATCATTTTATGCACCCATAAGCTTTTGGATATGGAGCAACCCGAACTCATTATTACTGCACATAGGACACTAAATTTGTTCAAACACTTTGAAAAACAGTTTGCCATTATCTCCAAAATTAAAACTGCTTATCTCTTACAAACCAGCAAAGCCATTTTCTAATTATTACCCCAATCTCTTGAACAAGGAGATGTGTATAAGGATTCTCAAGGTTTCACTGTTTCTAATTGCAAAACCTGGAAACAACTCTCACTATGTTGCTCAGGCTGGTCTCGAACTTCTGGGGCTCAAGGGACCCACTGCCTGGGCCTCCCAAAGTGCTGGGATTACAGGTGTGAGCCACTGTGCCCAGCTTTTACCTATTTATTAGTTAGGACAAATAACCAAAAAGGAAGAAAAAATATTTATTGCAACCACTAAAAGAACAGAAATGGAACCTATAACATCCACAGCAAGGCATCAGGATGTGACAGAAATGGGGTGATTTTATTCTTGGACTCTTCAGAGAGTAAGGAGAATTGGTGGCCTGCATATTAAAAAAAAAAAAAAAAACAGGAGTTGAATGTTGTCTTAGTCCATTCTGGCTGCTATAGCAAAATGCAGTAAACGGGTGGCTTATAAACAGAAATTTATTTCTCACGTTTCTGAAGATTGAGAAGTCCAACATCAAGGCACCAGTAGGTTTGATGTCTGGTGAGGGCCCACTTTCTGGTTCAAAGATGGCATCTTCTTGCTGTATCCATATGGTAGAAGGGGTGAGGGATCTCTCTGGGGCCCCTTTTATAAGGCCACTAATTCCATTCATTGCTGGCTCTATCTCCATGACCTAATGACCTCCCAAAGCCCCACCTCCTAATACCATCACCTTGGTGATTAGCATTTCAACATAGGAATTTTGAGGGGACACAAACATTCAGACCATAGTAGATGTGTGGACAAGTGATTAGCATAGGAAAGGGGAGTATAGGAAGAGGAAGCATTCCAAGCTGATGCTAAGAATATTTTAAGACTTAAGAAAACAATATTTTAATTATGAACTCATTTTTCTTGTTTGTCATGAAAGCTGTGCCTCAAACAAAAGTAATGAATTGTATTTACAAGTTAGAAAAGTATATACTGAGGTTAAGGTGGAGCAGCAGATGAAAGGTTGAGTATTAAATGACTAAGTGTTTTTCTTCAAAATGCTTTATGATTGAAAACCCCTTTAAAATCACATTACATGTCCACAACAAACGTTCTCAGCAAAAAATTGTTTTTAGTTGAGGAGTGAAAGAATGTTGACAGAATGGATATTGTTACTGAATGCTAGCATTCATGCTAAGCTTGTTGCCCTAAATCCAATACTTCTTTCAAAACAAATTGGCTAACAGCCTATTGACTCTTTTATAACTGGGGTTAATGAAATCTTGATCTAGAATATTCCTAAGGTCCTTTATCACTGTGAGCCTCCACGACTCAGTTATTAATTAATTGGAAATTGTCACTCTTTTCCCAAGCCTAGTGATAGTGATAGGAGGCAGACAAATTCCTAGGCAGATATGGGCGGGTCCCCAGTGACACTTAAGCTTCAAGCCAGTGACAGTCTGAACACCAAACTACCAGTTCTCGATAGAGCCCATGCACCAGAGTGAGAACTTCCATTCACGTTCGGTGCACTTAGCCTCTGACTGGTCCCAGGCCAAGCCTTCACTTCAGCCCCTGGTTGGTTCTTTACACTATCGTACCTTTCTGAATAGTACCTTTTCCAAGCCTACCCATAAACCAATCAGCATGTATTTCCCCATTCTAAACCCATAAAAACCCTGGACTCAGCCTTGCAACCTCACAGCTGGCAACCCACTTTTAGGTCCCCTCTCACTCTGAGAGCTTTCTTTCTGCCCCTCAATAAAATTCTACTCTGCATTACTCACTCTCTGGTGTCCATGTATCTCATTACTCTTGATCATGAGACAAGGACTTGGAACTTGCCAAACCACAGGAGTAAAAAAGCTGTAACACCCCCTCCCACTTGCCGAATTATGAGAGTGCAGAAGCCCCAACATCAGCTTAAAAGAGATGTTGCTTCTGAGATGGGTTCCGGAAGGATCAAAATTGATTTCTGTAGGTCACCTGGAAAACTGGGATTCTGAAGCGTCAAAAAAACATTTTTGTCAGAGCTGGCATGTTACCTTTCTCCATCTTAGACCTCATATGACACTAGTACCGGAATCACAAATTTGAATCTCTGAGATCTGGCCCAGAGAGAGACCAAAATTGTTACTCCTTCTATGTGATTCTTCAAACTGTGAACATGTTCTGATTATCACTACATTGATAGATCTAGTTGTCCAGAGATATGCCTTATACTCCTGCCTCTGCCTTAATATGTCATATGCTTTTGTGCATGTTATTTTCAGGTCCTCAGTTTCTCCATAGATAACATGACAAATTCAGACCAGGTGATCTCTAAAGCCGCCTCATAGGTCAGACATACTGAGCTTCTATGATTCTAGATGATTTCATCTACTTTCATGGTACCTATCTGAGGTACATGGGTGAAGGACCCATCCCCCAAGTCTATTAAATGAAAAAATAATTAAAATAAAGCAAAACTGCAAGAAAAATACAGGCATATTGAAACTGTGTCTCTGAAAAGTCTTAGAAAAAGCATACAACATGGTCTACTCCACTATTGTGTCATTTATTGTTTTCGCATTTGTATCAATAGTGTAGGAAAAACATTTTAATTCCATCTGAAAAGGTCATAGGAATACATTGTGATGTTAGAGTTTGAGTATTAATAGTTAATAATTATGTTATTGGTAAAATTAAACTGTATAACATGTTCTAGGATGGGATATTGTAAACCATACTGTTCTTCTGCCCCCTTGTGGCTTACCCTTGCGAAACAGATTCACTAAGTCCTGAAGAAGTTTAGAGGTTTACTCTATAAGAGCTTTAAGCTCTTATAGAGTTTATATAGAGCTTTGATATGTATGCAGAAAATTTTATGATAATTTGTAATTGTATTACTCCATTCAAAGCAAATATTATTTTCTGAGCAACTTCTACTGAGGAATCTTCAGGGATTCTAAAAATTTATTTTCTGAATGATCCTGTGTGAAACACTTTTTACTACTATAAAATTTTAAATGTTTGTAGTCCCAAACCCTGCTATGGTTTACTTAGACTGTGTATAATTTAAGAATAAGTAATATGAAAACTATTTACTATCATATTTTTGAGGAAATAAAAAATCAATATATTTTCATTCTAAACTAGATGTTGATTAGGTAACATTTTGAAAATGTAGAAAGATACAAAGAAGAAAAATCACCAATATGTCCAATAACCACTACTGACACTTGCAAGTATGTTATTTCAAATTATTTTTCTAAGTATATTAACTATTGTTGTGCACAAAAAGCAATTAGTAAACAACTGCAGGATATATAAGAATATATACATATAAATATTTGCTTTTTAAACTAAATGTGCTGTGTAATATTTTAATCTCTTAAAATATTTATTTAAATACATTTCCTGTTAATTGCATCTCATTATATTTCACGGTACATCTGTACAAAACACTTTCAAGAAGGTTTGTACCATTTTCTATCCGTAATAGTAGTATATAAAATTATCTATATCACTAAATCTTCACTAAAATTGAATATTACTATGTTTTACTAAATTAAAGAGTTGAAATTTATCTCACTCAAATTTCTATCATTATATTCATCCATATATGTGTTTATACATACATGCATACATACACATAACAGGTACATACATACTATACATGTACTACATGTGACATATGTACACACATATATACACAACATACATAGATAAGTGTTGTGATTTGCCTCTCTATTCTGTTTTTGGCCTACACAAATTTCAATTTTTTTAGAAGCAAACATACATATTTTTATTGATAATTACTTTCAAGCTTTGTGTCACCATCAACAATTTAATAATCACTTGCATTGTTTATGGTCTGATTTTCTGTAATCACTCTTAAATAGTATGACTCATACTAGAAACTTCAGATAAAGCATTCTTGATTTTTCTTTTCTTTCCCTTCTCTTTACGAGGTGAAGATGAAGCATTCTTTAGCAACAAGAAATCATTAAATTGAACATGTTTCAGGGGAAAAAATTATTGTCTTCTTTGGGTAAAATGTTACCACAGTATATTTCCAAAATCGGTTTCTTAAAATACATATTTTTTTCTCAGTAAATATCAAGTTGCTTAGGCTAATTGTTCAAAAGTTGTACGACCTGACGCTGGGCGCGGTGGCTCATGCCTGTAATCCCAGCACTTTGGGAGGCCGAAATGGGTGGATCGCTTGAGGTCAGGAGTTCAAGACCAGCCTGGCCAACATGGCGAAACCCTGTCTCTACTAAAAAAAAAACAAAATACAAAAATTAGTCGGGCATGGTGGTGATGCCTATAGTCTCAACTACTCGGTAGGCTGAGGTGGGAGATCGCATGAACCCCAGAGGCAGAGGTTGCAGTGAGCTGAGATATCACCACTGCACTCCAGCCTGGGTGACAGACCCAGACTCTGTCTCAAAAAACTAATAATAAAAAAAGTTTTACAACCTGATTAGCATTTTTTAACGTAGCTGGTATTTTCTGAGCTCTTTCTAAACTGGCATGAAATATGAAGCTACAAAAGGAACTTGGAACCTGCATCTGGTCAATCTTGGTTACTAAGAAAATAACAAATGAACCTCGAGAAACTTTTAAGATTGTTTCCTCAACCCCAACTCTTTTAAAATGTATGAGAATATGGGTGAGACATTGTAAATAAAACATCATTGAGAAAAGAAATATTGTTTGTGAAATTCTAAAATGACAAATTAACATGGTTATAACTCTATCATTACTCTTTTGACATTCTCCAAAATGCAGAGAAAAATGACAGATTGCCTGTTCATGTGGAATTCAAGATATTTGAGATGAGGTGTGAGACGAGGTGTAAGGCCCAGGATTTCAGAGATTTCTTTATGCTGACTCATTTCATTAGAATAAAAGATAGTTTCTAATAGATAAGGTAATCAGCAAGATAAAGTGCCTATGGTACATTTTGCTAAACATAGAGAAAGATAAAAGAAGAGTATGAAATTTGCTCCCACTTGAAGGAACTTAGAGCTCTGTTGAAGAGGAACAGCAAAAAAACACAAAAAAAGAAGATTATTTCAGGAATATTGTCTTTTAAAAAATTTTTCCTTTCCTATATTTATTTTTAATTTTCGTGGGTACATAGCAGGTGTATATATTCAGGCGGGTACATGAGATGTTTTGATACAGGCATGCAATGTGAAATAATCACATCGTGGAGAATGAAGAATCCATCCTCTTAAGCATTTATCCTTTGTGTTACAAATAATTCAATTACACTCTTTTAGTTATTTTTAAATATACAATTAAATTATTATTGACTATAGTCACTCTTTTGTGCTATCAAATAGCAGGTCTTATCATTCTTTCTAATCATTTGTTTGTACCCATTAACCATTTCTACCTACCCCTCAGTGCCCCATGGTACTCTTGCCTCTGGTAACCAACCTTTCTACTCTCTATGTCTGTCAATTCAATTGTCTTGATTTTTAGAGCCCACAAATAACTGAGAACATGTGATATTTGTCTTTCTGTGCCTGGCTTATTTCACTTAACACAATGATCTCTAGTTCCGTCCATGTGGTTGCAAATAACAAGATTTTTTTTTAATGGCTGGATAGTATTTCATTATGTATATGTACATTTACTGTATTTTCTTTATCCATTCATCTGTGGATAAACGGGTTGCTTCCAATTCTTGGCTATTGTGAACGGTGCTGCAACAGACATTGGAGTGCAAACATCTTTTGATGTACTGGTTTCCATTCTTTTGGGTATATACCCAGCAGTGGGATTGCTGGATCATATGGTAGCTCTATTTTTAGAGTTGAAGAAGCTACAAACTGTTCTCTATAGTGGTTGTACTAATTTCCAGTCCCACCAAAAGTGTGGGGAAAAAGTGTGTACCAAAAGTGTATGAGGGTTCCCTTTTCTCCACGTCCTCTCCTGTATTTTTATTTCCTGACTTTTGAATATAAGCCACTTTAACTGGGGTCAGATCATATCTCATTGTAGTTTCGAATTGCATTTCTCTCATGATTTTGGGTACCTTTTCATAAGCCTGTTAGCCATTTGTATGTCTTCTTTTGAGAAATGTGTGTTTATGTCTTTTTCCCATTTTAGATCAGATTGTTTATTTTCCTATAGAGTTCTTTGAGCCCCTTATATAATCTGGCTATTAATCTCTTCTTAGATCAGTGGTTTGCAAATATTTTCTCCCATCCTATGGTTGTCTCTTCACATTTTTTATTGTTTTCATTTCTGTGCAGAAGCTTTTTAAGTTTTGATCCCATTTGTCCATTTTTGCTTCGGTTGCCTGTGCTTGTACAGTATTGCTCAATATATTTTTGTCTATTCCAATGTCCTGGAGAGTTTCCTCCAAGTTTTCATGTAGTAATTTTGTTTTTGAGACAGAGTCTCACTCTCTTGCCCAGGCTGGAGTGCAGTGGTATGATCTCGGCTCACTGCAACCTCTGCCTCCCAGATTCAAGTGATTCTCCCACTTCAATCCCCCAAGTAGCTGTGATTACAGGAGCATGCCACTACACCCTGCCAACTTTTGTATTTTTTGGTAGAGACAGGGTTTCACCATGTTGGTCAGACTGGTCTCAAACTCCTTACCTCAAGTGATCTGCCTGCCTCGGCTTCCCAAAGTGCTGGGATTACAGGTGTGAGCCACCATGCCCAGGCTTCTTGTAGTAATTTTATAGTTTGAGGTCTTAGATTTAAGTTTTCAATCCATTTTTTATTTGTTTTTTGTATTTGACAAGAGATAGAGGTCTAGTTTCATTCTTCTGCTTATGGATATCCAGTTTTCCCAGCACCATTTATTGAAGAGACTGTCTTTTTCCTGGTGTACATTCTCGGCACCTTTGTTGAAAATGAGTTAACTGTAGGCATTTGGATTTGTTTCTGGGTTTTCTATTCTGTTCCATTGGACTATTTCTATTTTTTTCAGTACCATGCTGTTTTGGTTACTATAGCTCTGTAGTATAATTTGAAGTCAGGTAATGTGATTCCTCTAGTTTTGTTCTTTATGCTTAGGATAGCTTTGGCTATTCTGGGTCTTTTGTGGTTCCATATAAGTTTTAAGATTTTTTTCTCTTTCTGTGAAGATTGTCATTGGTATTTTGATAGAGATTGCATTGCATGTGTAGATTGCTTTGGGGAATAGGAACATTTTAACAATATTATTTCTTCCCGTCTATGAACATGGAATCCCTTTCCATTTTTTTGGTGTCCTCTTCAATTTCTTTCACCAGTGTTTTATACTTTTTTATTATAAAGATCTTTCACTATTTGGTTAATTCCTAGGTATTGGATTTTATTTGTGGCTATTGTAAATGGGATTTTTAAAAATTCCTTTTTCAGATTGTTCACTGTTGGCATATAGAAATTTTACTAAATTTGTATATTGATTTTGTATCCTGCAACTTTACTAAATTCGTTTAGCAGTTGAAATAGTTATAGGCATCTTTAGGTTTTTCCAAATACAAAATCATATCATCTGCAAACAAGGGTAATTTTACTTCTTCCATTATAATTTAGATGCCCTATATTTGTTTGCTTTTCTGAATGCACTAGCTAGGACTTCCAGTACTATGTTGAATAAACTATATTGAATAAAGTGGTGAAAGTGGGTATTCTTGTCATGTTCCAGCTCTTAAAAAAAAAGGCTTTCAGTTTATCCCCATTCAGTATGATACTAGCCGTGGGTCTGTCATATATGGCTTTTATTACATTGAGATATGTTTCTTCTATCCCCAGTTATTTTAGGGTTTTATCATGAAGAGATGGTCAAGGTTATCAAATGCTTTTTCAGCATCAGTTGAAATGATCATACTGTTTTTGAACATTCTGTTCATATGATAAATTACATTGATTGATTTTTGTATGTTGAACTACTCTTGCATGCAAGGGATACATTCCATTTGGTCATGATAAATGATCTTTCTAATATATTGTTGAATTCAGTTTGCTAGTGTTTTGTTGAGGATTCTTACATCAATATTCTTCAGAGATATTGGCCTGTAGGTTTTGTTTTTTTATTGCTGTGTCTTTGGTTTTGGTATCAGGGTGATACTGGCCTCATAGAATGAGTATAGAACTATTCCCACTTCCTCTATTTTTCAGAATAGTTTGACTAGGTTTAGCAGTAATTTTTTTAGTAATGTTTGCTACAACAATGAAGCCACGGTTTCCCAGGCTTTTCTTTATTGGGAAAATTTTTATTACAGCTTCAACTTTATTATTTGTTATCAGTCTGGTCAGATTTTGGATTTTCTTATGGTTCCGTCTTGGTAGGTTGCATGTGTCTAGGAATTTGTCCATTTCTTCTAGATTTCCAAACATATTCATATATCCTTAGAATTTCTTCAGTATCATTTGCAATGTCTGCTTTTTCATTTCTAATTTTATTTATTTGTAGTTTCCCTCCTTTTTTTTAGCTAGGCTAAACATTTGTCAATTGTGTTTAACTTTTCAAAAACAATACACAACTTTTCAACTTTTTGTTTCAAAGAAGTAATTTTGTAGTCTTTTCTTCATCTCAATCTCACTTATTTCTGCTCTGATCTTTATTGTTTATTTTCTTCTACAGATTTTGGATTTGGTTTGCTTCTGCTTTACTAGTTCATTAAAATGCATCATTGGATTGTTTATTTGAAGTTTCCTGTCGTTTTTGATGTATACATTAATAGCTATAAACTTTCCTCAGTACTGCTTTAGCTGTATCTCATAGGTTTTGGTATGTTGTGTTTCCATTATCATTTATTTCAAGAAATTTTTTCATATTCCTTCTGAGTTTCTTCATTGGCCCACTGTTGATAAGCATATTGTTTAATTTCAATAAATTTGTATAGTTTCAAAAACTTCTCTTGTTACTGATTTTTAGTTTTATTCCATTATGGTTAGTGAAGATGCTGGCTATTATTTCAATTTTTGAATATTTTAAGACTTGTTTTGTGACCTACCATATGGTCTATCCTTGAGAATGATCCATGTGCTCGGGCAAAAAATCTGTAGTCTGCAGCAGTTGGATAAAATGTTCTGTAAATATCTAGTAAATCCATTTGGTCTGTAATGCAGATTAAGTCCATTGTTTTTCTTTTGTTGTTTTTGATTTTCTATCTGGAAGATCTGCCCAATGCTAAAAGTAGGATGTTGAAGTCTCCAGGTATTATTGTATCGGAGTCTCTCTCTCTTTAGCTCTAATGGTATTTGCCTTATATATCTGGGTGCTCAGTGTTGAGTGCATTTATATTTAAAATTTTTATGTCCTCCTCCTTACTTGACCCCTTTATCATTATATAATGACCTTGTCTCTTTTAATCGTTTTTTTCTTGAAACCTGTGTTGTCTGATGTAAGTATAGCTACTTCTCCTCTTTCTTGGTTTCCAATGGCATGAAATATCTATTTTCCATTCCTTTATTTTCTGTCTATGTGTCTTTATAAGTAAACTGTCTTTCTTGTAGGCAACAGATCATCAGAGGAGCTTCAACCTATAGCCACCACTACCACATGCCATGAGGTATACTGCCAGACTATCACTGATGCTTCCATAAGGCGCATGTGCTCTTTAGTCAGCTTGTGGTGAATGCTGCCTGGCTGGAACTCACCATTCAGGGCAATGGTATCCCCTCTGGCCCAGGGTAGGTCCAGAAAGGCCATTGAAGAGTCAAGTCCTGGAACTGAGAACCCGAAGAACCCGGTTGGTGCTCTGCTCCCACATGGCCATTCTGATACCTAAGGTGCAACACCAAGTCCCCTTTACTTTTCCCTGTACTCTTCTCTAGCAGAAGGTGTTTTGCACCACAGCTGTGCTGAATCTCAGCTGAAGACATCAAGTCTCAGAGGCTCACCCAGGACCCTTGGTGTAGTACCTGGGTATTTCTGCTGGTTATTCAGGGCTCAAAGGCTCTTCAGTTAGCAGGTGATGAATGCTGCCAGCACTGGGCCCTTTCCTTCAAGGAAGCAGGTTCCCTTCTGGCCCAGGGTATGTCTAGAAATGTTATCTGGGAGCTAGGGCCTGGAATGGGGCCTCACAACTCTAACTAGTGCCCTATCCTGCTGTGGCTGAGTTAAAATCCAAGATGCAAGACAAAGTCCTCCCCACTCTTCTCTCTGCTCTCTTCAAGTGGAAAGAAGGGGTCTCTTTTGAAGCCATGAGCTGTGAAGCCCAGGATTGGAGGAGGGATGATGCCAGCACTGCCTTAGCCACCCCAAATTGTGTCTCAGTAGGTTACTTGCCTCCCCAGCTCACTGTCTGTGGGTCCAGTTCAGCAGTAGGACTCTCCTAGGAGTTGCAGTCTCTATGGCCTAGTCTGCCTTTCAAGTTTATTTAGAGCCTTTTCAGCCGTCAGTGGCACAGTTTGTAGGAACTCAAGTTGCAAATGCTGGGATTTGTGATTCTCCTCCAGCTAGGGCTGGTTTAAATTCTCTCTCTGTGGGTTGGAGTCAGCTGAGTTTGGTCCAGTTCTTTTTTTTCGTCTCTAGAAGGACAGCACTGAGTCCAACGCCTCACAATTTCTGTGCTCTTTCTGCCTATCACACAGAAACCATCTCTGCATCACACTGCCACTGCCAGGGCAGTGAGGAAAGGGTGGCATTGGTGATTCAAGACCTTTTTTTCTACCTCTTCTATGCCTCTTTGAGTGATACAAAGTTAAAGCCAAATACTGTAAATGCTTACCTGATTTTTCGTTCTTATTAATGCGCTTTTTTTGTATGTTGATAGTTGTTAAATTAGTGTCCTTGAGGGGGAGATAATCGGTGGAGCTCTTTATTCTGTCATGTTGCTCCAGTTTATGTCTGTTGATGTCCTTTTGAGATGTCCTTGAAGCACCCTGAGACAATTATAAAAAATATTAATGCATCCTGCTAGGAAGACATATGCCATCAATGTGTGTTCATTTAGTGTCATCAATCTTTCCAAGTAACTATATCTTCTCCTGGAGTCTTGGCATAATAGGATAGGATATGTTGATGAGCAACAAAACATTTTCAAATGGAACCATACTCTCAGCATCTTCATGGCGATGGTAATATTCATATCTCTTTAAAGACTTAACATCAGTAGAATAGGTGATGGTTAATTAACTAAGGCCTATAGGCCAAATCTGGCCAGTGACCTATTTCTGTGAATAAAGATACTGTGTATCATAGCTACACCCATTAATTTGCTTATTGCCTGTCGCTGCCAGTTGAGTGGTTGTGACAAACTGTATGTCCCACAAAGCCTAAAGTATTTGCTTTACAGAAAATGTTTGCAGAACCATGGATTAGATAAATATACAATACGAATAATTATCTATTAAACAGGAAACTATAAAATATTCTAAGGCAAAGGAAATGCAGATTATAACTGATGGCCATGTGTTTCTTAAGACATATGAAGATGGCACCATTTTGCTGCCATCAGCATGATGCCCATTAAAAATACTTTTTTTCAATAAGAGAGTGCTTCACTTGTTTATCACAAGAGACCTACACACAACAACAGCAAATGTTTTGTATAGTACTTTACCATTAACAAAATGTGTCACCCACATTTTATCTTATCCTTCCCACCAACTAGTCTCAGAATTCTTATGTGACATTGTACAAACTAGGAAACTGAGATTCAGGATTTTAATCAAGTCATACAGTGTTACACAGCTTGCTAACTCAAATATAGGTCTTCTGTAAATCTTACAGTCATGTTGTTTCATATGCTTTCACCAAACTCTGTGAGTTAGCATGTAAGGAAGTAAAAATAAACTACTTTCTGTAATTTGCAGATATTGATGAGTCTAAATTTGTTATTAAAGTAGAAAAAGATTTATTTTGATAATAACACATGCGAACAATGATTGAAGATGGAATAAACATTTGTAACATCTTTTGCTACTTGTAATCTTCAATGGGTTGAGATCAGGCAGGTAGAAAAGAAAACAAAGATAACATAAATTTTAAAAGGAATGAGAAGTGAAGTCTGTGATTTATAAATAAAAGACCACACTCACTGTTCTTTGCAGGATTCTGTTTACTAGTATTATGCTCTATGGTCCAAATGCTGACTACTAAGTCTTTATCTCCTATAACTCACCCTCATAAACACTGCTGATAAAATTTTGTCTGAGGCTATCAATTTCTTTTGGTCTACTTATTTATGTTTCTCCTAAAATGCATAGTAAACAAGAAAACCTTTCTCCACTAAAAATTCTGTGCCATTTTTGTCTCTGCCAGATGAATTTCATTTACTTATCTGGCTTTTGTGCCAAATTCTAATGGCATTTGGCCACATGACCACTGCCTCCTTAAACTTAGAGACATAAACTAATGCACTTTGTATGTTTATTGCTACTCTTCACCTGCAATTTCCTGTCCACTGCAGTACATAAATAATAAGGCATATTTCAGGAGGATCTTTTACTCATCACGTAATATTTTTCCCTTTAATGGTCCATAAATTTGACTACCATTTGTCTGGCTTTTGGCTTTTATAAAACAGTGTTCTCATTTTCAAAAAATATTTTAAATAATTTAAAATTGTTAATAATTTCAAAATTGTTTCAAAGTATAACTTTATTTTTCCTGTGGCATCCGAGATATTGGGGTCGGTTTTAAGACTTTTACTACTTACAGTTCTAGTGCCTTAATCTCCATTAACAAGATTTTTTTTGAACATTTACTAAGGGTAAGGCTTTCTACTAAGCTCTA
This sequence comes from Homo sapiens, assembly GCF_000001405.40. Classification (NCBI taxonomy): domain Eukaryota; kingdom Metazoa; phylum Chordata; class Mammalia; order Primates; family Hominidae; genus Homo; species Homo sapiens. The sequence goes on along the minus strand of NC_000023.11, from coordinate 145,203,755 downwards.
TACCAAACTAATATCTATCATACAACTAGAACATGTAGATAAATATTTGAGACAAATATCAAAGGTACATGCTTAAACTACCGACAAAATCATTTAAAGTAGGATATTGTCTACAAGTATCTTCATACTACACTCTATGTTCTGCTTCATTTTCCTAATGGATATTGATGTTTAATGTTCTTGATACAAAATATAGTAGTAAGTTCTGAAAAAAAATTATCCAAACTTGTTATTTGCTCAGCAAAGATAGAAATATGAGCTTTTTAGCACAGCATGGCATTTTCTTAGTCAAGAATTGTGCCTATGAGGAAAACTATTTATGTAGTTGAGTTCACAGAGAATACATAATTTTATACTCTTGATTATTTTTAACAGTTTAAAATTAGTATTTCCTCATGCGATTATAAAATCATTGTGAATCATCTTTTTTTTGAGATGGAGTTTTGCTCTTGTTGCCCAGGCTGGAGTGCAATGGCACAATCTCGACTCACTGCAACCTCTGCCTCCTGGGTTCAAGTGATTCTCCTTCCTCAGCCTCCCAAGTAGCTGGGATTACAGGTGCCCACCATCACGCCAGGCTAATGTTTTTTGTATTTTTAGTAGAGATGGGGTTTCACTATGTTGGCCAGGCTGGTCTCGAACTCCTGGCCTCAAGTGATCCTCCCACCTTGGCCTCCCAAAGTGCTGGGATTACAGGCCTGGGCCCTCACACCCGGCCATGAATCATCTTTTTAATCACTGCCTGAAATTTCATTGTTAAAGAGAATACCATACTTCTCTATTTTTTTCAGCATTAATGAAGTAAATTGACAAGCAAAAATTATATGCATTTATGGTGTACAACATGATGTATTCATATATGTATATATACCAATACTGTAAAAACATATATATATATTTATAGTGAAATAATTACCATTATCAAGCTAACTAACATATCCACAACTTCACATAGTTAGCATTTATTTTGGTGCTGAGAAAATTTAAGATATGCTATCTTACCAAATTTCAAGTGTACAATATTGTACTATTAACTATAGTCACCATGCTATACATTAGACCTCCAGAAAGTATTTATCCTGTATAGCTGAAACTTTGTACCGTTTCATAGATTGCCTCTTTACTCTGTTGAATGTTTCCTTTGATACGCAGAAGTTTTAAAGTTTGATGTAGTTCTACTTGTCTATTTTACTCTTGTTACCTATGATTTGGAGATCGTATTTAAAAAAATTATTGCCCAGACCAAAGTCAAGAAGCTTTTTCTCTAGGTTTTATTCTAATAGTTTGACAGTTTGGGGTCTTATGTTTAAGTCTTTAATCCATTTTGTGTTGATTTTTTACAATAGTGTTAAATAAGGGTTCTTTTTTTTTTATGTGAATGTCCAGTTTTCACTTCAACATTTATTGAAAACATAACCTTTTCCCCATTGTAAGGCTTTGCATCTTTGTGAAAGATCGGTTGAGCATAAATGCATGGATTCATTTGTAGTTTCTCATCGTGCATGAGCTCTTACAGACAATTCAGTATGGCTGGATTGGGAGACAGTGCTAACTTTGAACACGTTAGGGGACTTCCCTAGGGAAAAGAAATGGAGGCTATCAGCATCCAGCCTGGCTTTTTGGGATTGAGAGAACGCATACAGTTCTAAAACTTTTCCTGCTCCCAAGAGAGAACAAGAAGAATAGAGTGGGTCCACCCATAGAAGAGGCCTGAGACCCCCAGAACCCCTAATCTGGCTGAGTGGCGAAAGCCTTTTTCTTTCCAAACCAGTCAGTGAAGACTGAAGGATGAGGTGATTATTTCTTCAAATGTGACAAAACAAACAAACAAACAAAAACCCCAAAACTTGAGACTTCAAGGAATACTAAAAATCAAGGAAATATGAAACCATCAAATGAATGCAATAATTTTCCACAACTGACTCAAAGAAATTGAGAACTATGAATTACTTGGCAAAGATTTCAAATAACTCTTATACGGAAGCTCAATAGGCTACAAAGGAACACAAACAACTCAATGGGATCAGAAAATAACACATGAACAAAACTAGAATTTCAACGAAGAGAAAATATAAAAAAAATCCAGAAATTCTGAAGAATAGAGTTAGTAAAAAATACAATGGAAGTTTCTTTCTGCTTTGAAATTGAGAATGTCACACATTTATACTTGAAAAAGTTTATTTCTCTTATCTTCTAAGGTTTTACTGATTAATTGATTTTAATTTTTTTGTCATCTAACTGCAATTTATTTTGCTGCATGAAATAAGATGAATACATAATTTCCTCAATTGCTAAGAAATTATACCAGTGTCATTCATTTATTTCTTCTCCAGGACTTTACGATTTTCTTTATTATATATTATATTTTATACATGACAAGATCTTTTTCTGAATTATCTAGTAGAGAGTCTTCAATCTTTGTTGATCACACATGTCCACCAATACAAAATATTTGTGCATTCACTATCAGTATATTACACTGTAAGTGTTATTATATATATATGTATTACTGTCAATTCATATGTTGGCAATAATATTAATGTATACCTTGAGGTCAAGTCAAAATAGACTTTTTTATGTTTTTTATTTCACCCCTGGTAAATTTATTTTTTTCCGTGTCACACGCTCCTTATCATATGATTTGCATTATTTTAACTTTATAACTTAGTTTAGTTTTTCTTATCACTACTTTTCCTCTGAGGATTATTCTTTCTTCAAATACTTATTTGGCATTTGCTTCTGTAAAAAAAAATGTGCATCATCTTGTAAAATTTTCTGAAAAATCCCACTTGGACTGTCATTACAATTTCATTCAAATAATTTCTTCCTCACTATATTTAGATAGTCTAATTCTTGGTCACAGTGTAGCTTTTGCCATATTTATGTTTCTTGGTAGAATATTGAAAATGGCTCTAAAACTGGTTAACATTGCTTATTCCTAGGTACTGTATGTATGTATGTATTTATGCTGCTATTTGCTCCTATGAGAATTGTACATTTTCTTTTTCAAAAAATATTTTTAACATGTTGTTACAGATATAGGGTGACCATATAATTTTATTATCCAACTCATTTCATTTTAGAGAATGAAAGAAGGCACAATTAATAATAACACTGGGACAGGAAACATAAATAGGTCTGTCCAAAAAAAAAAAAAAAACAGGTCATCTGTTAATTCTAGGGAGTTGCAAAGTTTTTCACAGTGGAGAATGCAAATATAGACAATTCTTGAATTTTTTCCTATTTATTTTAAATGACAAATAAAAAAGATAAGGTGTACAAATGATGTTTATATATATATATATATGCATTGTGGAATATCTAAATCAAGCAAATAGCATACTCATTACCTCACATACTTATCACTTTTTGTGATGAGAGCACTTGAAATCTATTCTCTTAGCAATTTCAATTATACAGTACATTGTTATTAACTATAATCACCATGCTGTGCAATGGATATCTGGGGACTTATTTCCCCTGTCTAACTGAAATTTGATATCTTTCGACCAATGTCTCCCCAGAACCTCGCCCCTCTCCTCCAGTCCTTGGTAACCACCATTCTGCTCCTTGTTTCTATAAACTTGTTTGAAATAACTTTTTCTGTGAAGCGGAGGCATAAGACAGAGTGGTAGATGTAGGGCGATGTAGGATCAAATAATATTGTTTATTTTTAATTGAACATGTTTAAGTGTTGTTAGAAAGGCATCAGTAAAATGAGAGATATTCAAGTGACTTAAGGATATTGAGAAATTCATGAAGAACAGTCTGTGAAGAGGCCACAGGGGGTAGGATTAAGAGCACAGGAAGGTAAACAGGCATTGTGCTTAGAAGGGAGCAGGGGAAGAATGGTTTGGATGCAAAGAAGTTTGCAGGTAGGAAGTAGGTAACTGATGGAATTATGATTACCTGTTCAAACACATAGCACTATATAATACTAAAAATACTCAATAAACTTATCAAAGTATCGTGTGACACCTGCATTAGAAATGGGATTTAATATTTTTGTTTTCATTTTTGTTTCAATTACAATTTCAGTGCAATTCACTGATCTTTAAAATAACCCTGCAAATGTGTATTCATGCTTTCATAATCTCCATCAGTATTTACTGTACTAGTGTCATTTTACCATTTTTCATTTTTCATCAGTTGGTTTCTGTAAATCTTCCTAAGATATACTCCTAAGAGAAAGAGTTTGCACATAAATAAAAAGCAGTGCACTGTGGTGTTTATTTCACTTAAATCTCTTTACGCCCTTGGCACTCCCTTAATTCCTTTTCTTAGAATAAGTATGCATAGTTTTGCTACATTAAATTGTATTATTTGCGGATTCTTTATAGCACTTCCATTTGGCAGTGTATGTTGTGTTTAGCCTAGGATTCAGACACAGATGGGCATATGTGAAAGGTCTGTCGGGTAGGACCTCTGGGGATCCATTTATCATGAGTGACTGTGAAGTCTTCCTGGAAGGAATTCATCCCAGGGCAAGACATATTTCAGCTACACCAGTTGTTTCAGGGACCCTGGGTAAGTGTACTATGCGAGTAATAGAAAGTACACTGTACTCAGCTTTATCCTTTCCACTGGGACTAGACAGCTGTCTTCTGGAGTCTCTATCACTTCTCATGGTCCCCTTTTTTGTCTCCCAGGTACACTCAATCTTTATTCCAAACCTTGAGTAGAGTCCCATGATTCTGTGCTTCCTTGCCCTTCTCTCTCCTGCCTTCTCCCTTCCACCACCTGCCAGTTTGCGTCCTGTTCCATGATCTTCTAGGATTTGGTTTGACAGAATTGATACGGAATAGCTTTATTCTATGTATCACGCTCATATCTTCAAAAATTAGAGAGCCTACAAAAGAGACTACCTGAAGACATACTTTCTTAACCAAGGTTTCCCCAAAGATTTGGCATTTTTTTATCATCTTCATGGCTTTTCCCATACCTGTTGAACTACCTGTGTTATCATTTACTTTACATTTTTATTTGAATCAACTCATTGCTACCATTTCCACTTACTTTTGCTTTGTTCTAGGTGGTAATACCAGTACATTCACAAGTTTGATGTGCTAGCTATGGTTTTATAATATGTATACATATTATATATAATATATACAAGTGCATATAAAATATAGCATAACAAACCAACAGGAAGGTATTTGGGGTAAGAATGGTTGCTGCCTACTGCATTTGCTAATGGGAGCAAGTGTTTCTTTTTCCTTACTTGTTCTACCTTCTACGTTATTTTCTAAATGGCCAGAATTCTTATAGCATTTTAATGTTTTGAAGCAGCGTACTTTGAAGCCTTTCTTAGCACTAATAAGCATTCTTTTTTTTAAAAAAAAAAGAGTGAATAGCACATTATCATTTTATCTAAAAGTCAAAAATTTATGTTATAAAGTGGTATCCCAGCACATGTTTTGAAGAAGTGTTTGCTAAAGATAATTTAAAGATTCTGAAGTATTTAAGAGAAAAGGATCAAATATCAAAATTTTAAGGCCTTAAAACTAAGCAAAATTGAGATTTGGAGTTGAAAAAATTGTTATTGTATAGTATATTTATTTTCTGGGGCAACAAGCAATAACAAGAATATGAATATCCAAGACTGAAAGAAAATTATTTGGTCATAAAAAGTCTTCAACAAAATCCCCACTGTAAATCACACTACAGACTTTTCCAGAGTGCCATCATACATGTGAAGGGTATTTCTAGCCATTTTATCCAAAATATTGGATCATATTAATAGGGATACAATATTAGGGTATAAATTAGCTATTAGGGTTTATATGGTGTTCTTATAAATTTTGTGACAGAGTTAAAGATACATTGAGTTACTCTCACTGTTAGGGAGGCAGCATGATATAGTATAATAAGAATCATAAAGTTAATAATTATGCTATCTTAAATCACCTTAGCCTTGGCGGGTGCCTGTAGTCCCAGCTACTCGGGAGGCTGAGGCAGAATGGTGTGAACCCCAGAGGCAGAGCTTGCAGTGAGCAGCCTGGGCCACAGAGAGAGACTCCGTCTCAAAAAAAAAAAAAAAAAAAAAAAAATCATCTTAGCCTTGTATACCTCAGTTTTGTTTGTTATAAAACTAAATCAATAATGATACTTTTGTAGAGATTTTGTAACTTAAATGATAGGATGCATATAAAATAATTTTATGTAGTGATATATAATCTATACTTTTTAAGCCTTCTGATATTAGTATTTACTCTTTCTCTGGATATGGTTATAACATTTTGAATTTGGAAAAGGTGTTTTTGCCCCTATGCTTTTGAAGAATGTATCTTGGAATCTTTATATTTTTCAGAAAGAATGATGTCACTTTTACGTGTTTTTTTTTTTTTAACTTTGTTCTGGCTTTCTTTCTACAAATTAAATTTTAGTTCCATTACTTTTGGCAGTGGTATTATTCTCTAGGTACCTGACGTTGCTTAGGCATTTGAAAAATGTGTTAAAATTGCATAACTATCTTGGTAAAAAAGACACCTGGAGTTGGTTATTTACTGAAGGTAAAAGACTTGGTTTCTTATCATATATCCTCATCTGCCATATGCCATCAACTATAAATATCAGGACATTTTCCAAGGGTTAGCTTTGTTAACTTCCTGCAGTTAGATGTGCACACTCAGACCTACTGAACTGTTTTCATCAACTCTCGTTGCTACCTAACTTTTAAAGACTACAACTTTTGTTATGGAAAAAAACCTACATAATTTCATTCCTTCAATAAAAATTTGTTGCTCATCTATCCCAGGAAGGGACTGTGATAGGTGCTAAAGATTCCAAGGTGAATATAATTAAACACTTGCCTTCAAAAAGGTCAGGAGATAGTCATGGAGACAAAGTTATAAACAGTTATAGTGTCTTGTGCTCAGATAAATGAAAAGGAAACACACTTCTGCTGTGGAAAATAGAAGACGGACACCCAGTCTAGGCCTGTTAGGGAAAGCTTTCTAGAGGAGGTAAGAACTAAACTTTGTTATTCAGTAATTCATTCAGAAAATGTGCATTGATCATCACCTATGAATGTGCAAAGCATTGTTCTAGGAACTTCAGATATATGGTGAGTTAAAACAGCCCTCTTAGGGAGAGCTTACATGCTAATAGAAGAGACAGATAATCAGATAATTAAACAAAGAAATAGAAAATTACCCCATAGTAATTGATGCAAACGAGAGGTATCTCGTATTAGAGGAACTTATAGGCATATGTGACCTAGTTTCAGGTTAGGATGGAGGAGGGCTTCTCTCAGGCAATAACTGAGGTTTGAAGGATGAATAGGAGTTGATTGACTTAAATTGGGTCATGTTTTGATTCTAGACACAAAGAATAGCATATTTAGATGGGAATGTAGATGTTGGGGACTATGAGGAGTGCTGAATAAATAGCAATCCTTTTCATTGTCTAGATTCTGAATAAATTCAGGGGAAAAAGACTAATGACTAGGACACAAAGAAACCAAAGTATCATCCTTATTAATGACAAAGTTGCTATTAGAGAATGTTGACAAGGTGGGAGAGCCAAATTTACTTCCTATTACTGAATACCAAAACTATTCATATTCAACTACTGTGTTAGCCAGAATTTTCCAGAGAAACAGAATGAATAGAATATATAATTTATATGAGATATTTATTATGGGAATTGGCTTATACGATTACAGAGGCTGATAAGTCCCAAAATCTGCCATCTGCAAGCTGGAGACTCAGGAAAGCCAGTTATGTAATTTAGTCTGAGTCTGAAGGTATGAGAACCACTACTTCAGATGTCCTTGGACAGGAGATAATGAATGTCCTAGCTCAAGAAAGGAGTGAAGTAGCCTTTCTTGTGCCTTTTTGCTCTATTCAAGCCCTCAACAGATTGGATGATGCCTGATGAGACTGGGGAAGGAAGATCTGCTTTTTTCAGTCTATTAAGTTAAATGCTAATCTCTTCCAGAAACACCCTCACAGGCACTCCCAGAAATATATTTTTTACCAGTTTCCTGGGCATCGTTTAACTCAGGCAAGTTGACACATAAAATTAACCATCACAAGTGCCTAGTTACAAACGGTCGTAAACCAGTCACGACCTCTATGGAAGAAGGCATTTTGTGAAATTCACAATATAAAGAAACAGAGCATGACTTGAACATTGTGTAGGATGAGTAGAAAGACTGTGTAGTAGAGAGAGGTTAAAAATAGAGGAAGTGTGGATGCATGATGAATCAGGCCTTTGGAGGAGGGTGAGGGCAAGAACTAAATTAGGGTGAGGCAAATTAAGCTTCCAAGGCACAAAGTGTAAGCATGCAATCGCTCCCAGGGTCATACAAGTGTAAAGTCAGCATTCAAGGATGGGCCTCCTTACATCTTGTGCCCTGGGCACCTCTCTTGCTTCACCCTAGTCCTGGTCCTGCTGAAGGCCTGTTATTGAAGGCACAGGGGAGGCACTAGCCTTGAAAAAGAGTAGGGATATTTCATCCTTTGAGACTGGAAAAACAATATGAGGATAGACATGCATGCAGTTAATTTAATAATGGACAGAAAATTAAGGAAGAACACATCAGATTGAGTCATGTTTCTTGATGATGAACCAGGAAGCTAAATTGACAGCTTAACATGAGTACAGAGTTTGAGTAGGAGGCTGATAGTTGTGAACATTTGGAACATGCTGGCAAAGGATAAGAGGTAATCACAAGCAGTACTGAAAGCCTTGTGAAGACTAAAGATCAGTTTGTAGTGCTTGATCACCTCCACTAGTGTGCAGCTGCCAAGATGCATGAGTGGTGGGGGCGTGACATGGCACTAGTCCATGGTAGAGCTTTTACAAGGTGAGTACGACAGTGGATAGGAGTAAAAGGTACAGGTGAGAGAGAAATCCAGATGGTAAACCATGGGAACTAGGTATGATATAGAGACAGGAGAGGCCAGTAGGTTGACAATTGGCTGGGGGAAACTGTAAGATCAAGGGAGACAGTAATGATCTTGGTGAAGCTGAAGAACAGAGGTGGTCAGAGTCAGATCGAGTATGTGAGAACTAGGAAGAACAAGACTTATTTACTGGCATTCTTTCCAGCAGATGAGTTGATTCCAGAGTGTTTCTGAGTGAGGCCTTGGATGCAGATGGCTGTGGTTGTGTAGCATTGAAGGTCAATGTAGTTTAAAAAATGAAGGAACTGAGGCTTGGTGGCTACATGGTAAGTCCACACAAACCGTGAATTATCCTAGGATGATCGTTGGAATTGGATTACAAATATCCTAATTCTCATATCAAAATGCCCAGTGAATATCAATGAGGGCCTCGGGAGAAAGCCTGTAGCTGACAGTAAATGAGAAGGCATTAGAATCTGGTTGGAAGTGGGAAAATAATGAGAAAAGTTAGGGTGATTCTTTTTCCCACTTTCTTCTACTTTGCTACAGAGAGAACAATCATATCTAGGTAAAGACTTAGGGATTGTGGAGAAGGATGTATTAATTGCCATTTAAAATATGTTCTATTATTATTCCGCAGTTATGGCTATGTAGAGTTGTTTTCCACATAAGGATTCCCTGTGGCTTGAAGTATTGCAACACCTAGTTCTATCAAGCTTGGGAAGTGAAGTACTTCAATTCAAAGAACACTTGTTGAATAATTGCTGTGTGCCTGAGTTGTCTCGCTAGATCCTAGGCTTATCCAGAAGTGTATCTTACCTTTGTATCATTCCCTGACAACCCTAGGTTCTTGTAGGAATCTCGTGATTGAGCTACAATGTCCAGTGAAGAATAGGAAGTGTCAAGTCTGCTAATTTAGAAAGAGAATCTCAGCTTTGAATTAGGCATGGGAGCAAAAATAAATAATAATTGTTTTAATGTCACTTAATTTTGGCCGGGCGCGGTGGCTCACGCCTGTAATCCCAGCACTTTGGGAGGCCAAGGCGGGCGGGTCACGAGGTCAGGAGATCGAGACCATCCTGGCTAATACGGTGAAATCCCGTCTCTACTAAAAAAAAAACTACAAAAAATTAGCTGGGCTTTGTGGCGGGCACCTGTAGTCCTAGCTAATAGAAGGCTAAGGCAGGAGAATGGCGTGAACTCGGGAGGCGGAGCTTGCAGTGAGCCGAGATCGCGCCACTGCACTCCAGCCTGGGCGACAGAGCGAGACTCCGTCTCAAAAATAAATAAATAAATAAATAAATAAATAAATAAATAAATAAATAAATTAAATAAAATAAAAAATAAAAATAAAGCCACTTAATTTTTGGGTTAATTTTATGTAGGCTTATCTGAGATCTAGGTAATAGAGACAATATTTGTTTTCAATACTCTACTGCTGACAATGATTCTGCTACAAATAATGTACCAGTTGCCTTAGTGTATGTGGTGGGTTTCTATAAGGTACACATCTAGTAGTTGAATTGCTGGCTTATAGAGTATTTACATTTTCAACTCTACTAGACACAAGGGCTAGTTTTCTCTGCAAAGCAATTGTAATGAAAGAAACATGTTTTAGTGTTTGTTTCTCCTTCTTACTAATAATTGTATTTCTTCTTACCAATAATTTGTATTTTCAGAATTGTATTTGTTGGTCATTCTGAGAGATATGCAATGATATCTCATTTTAATTGACATTTCCATGATTACTGATGAGGTTTAACATATTTTCAAATTTATTGACCATTTGAGTATGTGTGTTTGTTTTCTGTTACAATCTTTTGCCCATTTTTTATTTATTTTACAAGAACTTAATTGATTGATTGATTGATATTTATTTGTTATTTTTCGAGACAAGGTCTCTCTCTGTCACTCACACTGGAGTGCAGTGGCGCAATTATTGCTCAATGCAACCTCAACCTCTGGGTTCAAGCAATCCTCCTGCCTCAGCTTCCCAAGTAGCTGGGACTACAGGCATGTGCCACCACACTCGAATAGTTTTTTATTTTTATTTTTGTAAAGACAGAGTCTCACTATGTTTCCCAGGCTGGTCTCACACTCCTGGCCTCAAGCAAGCCTCCTACTTTTCCCTCCCAAAGTGCTGTGATTATGGGCATGAGCCACCATGCCTGATCAACACGATTTTTAACATTTTCTTTTCTTATATTCATCTGCTCTTGTTTCATTTCTCCCATTGTTCTTAACTACTTTTTAAAAATGGTTGTGATGCTTTATTTAGGTCTTTGAGCATAAGTAAAGAATACTTACTTTAAAATATTTCTCCAGTTCAAAGACTGGCAAACTTTTTCTATAAAAGGCAGGATAGTAAATATTTTAGGCTTTGCAGGCTATACAGTCTCTGTTACAACTACTGAACTCTGCCTTGTAGTGCAAAAGCAGCCAGAGACAATACATACATGAATGTGCATTGCAGTATTCCAATAAAACTTTATTTACAAGACAGGCATTGAGCTGGATTTAACAGGAGGGCCACTGGACTAACTATGCTATATAACTAATTGCATCTGGAATAAATTCCTATTCAGATGGTTGATTTTGCTCATTGTCCCTATATGTCTCCATGTGTTTTAGATTTTGGTTTCTCTTTAAGAGGAAGTGGTTTTTCTGTTGTTGTTATTGTTGTCAATTTCTTGATCGTTTCTTACTTTCTTATTACTCCCAGGCCATCTGTTTCTGGCTGGGAAGGAAAATGGGGAGAGCAGTTAAACACATATTTCCTGGTATATTTGTATATGTATTTATGTAGTTCCTCCTTTGAAACAGGGTCTGTGTCTTATTTCTGTATGCCTAATGACTATTAAAATATCCACTTGACTTTTGGGTACATTTTCATTATGAGTTTTAGAGGAATGTAGATTTAAAGAAAACAATAAATTTCAATTAAAATATTTGATTTAAAAATGTTTCTCCTCCTGCACTGCTAACTGTGAAGTAGAGAACCTTAAAAGATATTTATAATACTGTCTTTCTTATTACTTGATTAATAAGAATTGACCTGAAATAAATTATTGCTCTAATGAGTATTCTGACAGACTCATTTAAAGAAAGTTAATACAGACAAGACTCTTCCCTTAGTATAATAACAATGATTATAATGAACTATTGTGCATACATTTATCTAAACATAATTTGAATCAATTTATTTGAGAACCCTTGTACACAGGAAAACATTAAAGAGAGTAAAATGAAGTCTCAGAAGTGTTTCAAAGTAAATGATTAACACTGAGGACATAATTGAGGGGCAGTTAAGGGGATGTTTCAAAGACATGATTTCCAAATGAATGTCTTGTTATATAGTAGTTAATTTTATTTTCTGACTTAAAAAATCATTGAAGGCTTGCTTATATGCACTTGGTTATCAATTTGCTTGTTAGTTATAATTGCTTCTAATTTGTGTTCTTTCTTTGCTTGATTCTCACATTGTGCAGTGGACCTTGCTTATTTTTAAGTGATTTTCCCATCATGATTTCATTTTATATTTTATTAAACATATTCCACATTTTTTCTGTTATCTTTCTAAGTTAAATGCTGCACCATTATTTTACATCAATGTGATCACCGATTGAAGCCTTCGTCCACAATTTAAGAAACCATTTAATAAAGTTTTAAAAATGCACCACTCTGGAGTTTAGGATTTCCCTTGTTATTGCATTTGATGTCAGTTTCTATTTACTGTAGTTTGTACATATGAAGCATGTGATTTATATGTATCTTTGACCCAAGGGTAAAATATTGTGGAGTGTCATAGTGCATTCTCACTTTTGAATGATCCCCACTGAGTTATTCCAGAAGTCAAATTTCATGTTGTTTTTGCCTTTGACTCCAGGGGGCAGTAGAAAATAAGAAATGATAATACCTTGCCTCATTGCAGTTTAAATTTAATGCAATTATTAAAGCCAGAAGGAAATGACAGATTTTCTGAAGTCAATGAGGATTTCACTGTGTATCTTTTAAGAGATGGACTTTTAAAGGTGGAATCTGGGGTGTCCGTTCAGATCCTCATCTGGAGACCAATAACTGTTTTTCTGTCATGTTTCTGTGTTCTCTTTTGCAATCCTTTATGATTTCAACACAGACAATGTGCTTCCTCTGAAGGATTTACTTAAAATTCTCTATATTTAAAATTGACCTCTCCTTATGCATACACATGTACACATGAGCAGGCAGGCTTACACATATACACATCACCTGTACAGCCAGGGAGATAAGAAGCTGCTAGCATACCATCGTGATGGTATACATAAGCAAGTAATATACTAAAATAGTGGTAACAAAAGCTATTTATTGAGTATCTTCTTAATGGCAGGTCCTGTACTAGGACCTTTATATATCAAGTCTCGTTTGACTTTATAACAAAATCTCTTTTTTACAGGTAAGGAAATTGAATTTCAATTTGTCCAATGACTGCCAGCTAGCAAATGGCTAAAGCCGATTAATAAACATATGTTCTTTTCACTATGGTAACCTGGATGTCTATACCCTACGTAGCATATATTTTATGCAAGAAAGAATAAGGATCAGATGGAAACAGATTTGATGATCCCATTCTATGTGTCTGTTTTGTGTACAACAGTTATTTTTAAAGACTTTCAGTTTTGTTTGAAGTGAACACTTTTTACCACTTCAATATTTAGTCTACACTTGCTAAAAGTCACATCTCCAGACTAATAGATTTTAAGAAGCTACTTTGCTCAACTTCTAAAGCAATTATGGGCTTCAGCATAAGCTTTTGTGTTCAATACATGGGTTCTGGTTGCACAAGCTAGAAGTGGTTGAGTCATCATATTAGAGTGATGTAAAAAGCATTTTTGGCTGAAGAAACAAGGAATTAATATTTGGCCATTACTCTCTTATGATTAGTTCATTACAGATCCTGCCTTTATCTACTTCACAGAAGAGTGCTGAGGGCATCTAAGAGGACAAGTACTGGGAAGTCTTTTTAGAAAAACAAAAGCAAGCAGACCAATATCCATCTTCATTTGAATGTATATTCTCTAAAAAGAAAATGATAATATCAGAAGAAAGGACTAAATACAGATTTGAGATTGATAAATGGTTATTGAAAATCACTGAAGAACATATGATTTAAACTATAAGGTAAACAGTACTGATAAACATTGTAAAGTAGTTATCAATGCTTAGAATAGTACATTGTTAGACCTCGTCTAGACCATAAAGTTCACTTTCTCTAACTCCATCTTTTCACAGATCTGGAAACTGATCCACACATAGGTTTCAAATTGCTGATATGTTTGTCATGTGTCGCACATCCATAATGGAGTAAATGCCATCATAACATCATTTTATGAGAGGCACTGCTTACATGACCTTGATAATCAAGTCCCCAACCTGGAATATAATTGTCAGTTAACATATTACGAGTCCAGATACGTATGTAACAGGAATTTTGAAGGGCCTCTTTAACTTGGGATTTATAAACATAATACAATGATTGAGGAAAAAACAGTGTTCCTATATTAGTTTATTACTCCCATTCGACAAGAAGTGCTGAAACCCTGAAGAACAAATGGCTCCCTTTGTTTTTTTTTAAGTCTTTATTTCTTCTTCATGCAGGTCCTGCATAGCATCATTTTGAATCCCACATTTTGGAGTCTTAATGTCCATCCTGGAATGGATTTCTTTCTTGTAGCAAGATATTGATTATTAATAATTACAAATAATTCTTGGTCTCTTTACATCTGGAATTATTTATTTGTTTATTTATTTATTTGAGACGGAGTTTTGTTCTTGTTGCCGAGATTGGAGTACAACGGCACGATCTCGGCTTACTGCGACCTCCCCCTCCCGGATTCAAATGACTCTCCTGCCTCAGCCTCCCAAGTAGCTGGGATTACAGGTGCCTGCCACGACACCTGGCTAATTTTTTTTTTTTTTTTTGTATTTTTCGTAGAGATGGGGTTTCACCATGTTGGCCAGACTGGTCTGGAACTCCTGATCTCAGGTGACCCACCCGCCTCGGCCTCCCAAAGTGTTGGGATTACAGTCATAAGCCAACGTGCCAGGCCTGGAATTATTTAAAGTACAGATTTGTAAATAACAACTCTTCCTCGATTGATTCTAAGATTTTTTTTCCCTCTAAATTGGATTAGCAAGATGCCTTCTTGTTTTCCAGAAAATGGCTCATCTTTCTATTTGCATAGGTCTGCAGATTTCTGCTTCTTGAATGCTCCCTCTGCTAGTGATTTCTCCTTGCTGAGGCGATTGGTGGGAGAGTGGCAGGGAGGTTATATTCCTCTTCTTTTTTATGGGGCGCATAATATCTAGATTGGAATCTGATCTACAAAAATAGCATCCAGTGGAAAGAGGCATAGACACTATAGTACTTTCCATAAATAAAATTTCATGTAGTCTGGATCTAGCATATCTGAAATTTACCCCTATAACCATTTCATTTCTCATGTGCCTAATAAGCATTAGGAGTTTGATCTTTCGTAACGATTACATTTATTTTAAATATTATATGAGTAAATAAAAACATCCAAATAGGAACTCCTGCATCTTCTCATCACTTAATCGCACAGGCAACTTGTCTCTACACCCATTCTCCATCTTCTGTCCAATATAATAGAAGAAAGAAACACCATCATCCCTACTAAAGGTTCTCTTCTCCATGTTTACCTTGTATCCCATCCCTTCTTGCATGTTTGAGAACTGCAGTTTCTCAACCAACTCCTTTCTCTCCTGCATTATCAGTGTCTCATTCTCTGCAGAATTATTCTCAGCAGCAAAAAAGTCCCAATAGCTCTGATTCTTAAATTAATTTTCCTTCACCCCTTCCTTCTAAATCCTCTCTTTCCTACACATAAAAACTCAACATGTTTGTATTTGCTTCCATATTAACTGTTATCTCAAATTCACGCTCATTTAGGCTTGTGTCCCCTCCATTCCACAGAAACTGCTCTGGTCAAAGTTACTGACAACCTCCATGGCGCTAAATCCAGTGGTTAATGCTCCATTCTCAACTCATTCAACCTCTAAGCATAGTTAACGAAGTGAGCTAAGCCCTCTGAAATACTCTTCTCTTCTGGGCTTTAGCGTCACCAGCCTTTCCAGCTCACACCCCTGCTTCATTGGCTACTGTTTGTCAGTATCCTGTATATGCCTTTCCTCTTCTTCCTAACTTTTTTTTTCTTTTTTTTTCTTTTTTTTGAGACGGAGTGTCGCTCTGTCACCAGGCTGGAGTGCAATAGCGCGATCTCAGCTTACTGCGACCTCCGTCTCCCGGGTTCAAGAGATTCTCCTGCCTCAGCCTCCCGAATAGCTGGGACTACAGGTGCATGCCACCATGCCTGGCTAATTTTTGTATTTTTAGTAGAGATGGGGTTTCATCATATTGGTCAGGATGGTCTCGATCTCCTGACCTCGTGATCTGCCCGCCTTGGCCTCTCAAAGTGCTCGGATTACAGGCGTGAGCCACTGCGCCTGGCCTCTTCTTCCCAATTTTTAAGTGTTGGAGCGCTCAGGGCTTCATTCTTGGCCCGGTTTCCCCCTCTAACTGTACTCACATTCTTCAGTCCCATGACTACATTCTATCTATATCTTTACAATTCTGTGAATTCATATTTTAGCTTGAATTCTTCTCAAGTTCCAGACATATTTTCAGCTACCTACATGCCATTTGGAGAGCTTTCTTAAACTTAACATGGCAGAAAGAGAATTGAATCCCTGCCCTTTCAGCCTCACCTCATAACAACTCCTCTCCTATTTTTACCCATTTCAACAATTAGCATTACATTCATCCATCTCCTTAAACAAAAATATAGGGTATCATCCTCACCCCCTATATAAAATCCAGAGCAAATTCTGTAAGGGGCACCCTTTCTCTCATGCTCACTGGTGCACACACTTTCTCCTTTCTCTTCATGCATATATATGTATATGTGCGTGTATATATATACACACATATGTATATGTAAAGGTGTATGTATATGTATTTTTTCTTCCATGCTGGCCTTCCTTCTGTTTCTCCAACATACCAAGCTACTTTCTACCTTAGGTATTTGCACTTCCTACATGCTTTTCTAGGAATTATGTTCCCTAAAAATCTTAGTAGCCTTGCTTTTCTCTCATTGTCTTAGCTTTAGTACTTTGTAAAGTTGCATCCCCCTTATCTGTTATTCTATTATATTATGTTGTTACTTACAAAAAATCTTCCTACATTTATCTCTGAAATGATCTTATTTATTTGTATACATTTTAAAATTCACTGTCAGAGTCCACTAAGCTCCCAGAAAAAGGAGCCTTGTCTATTTTGTTCATCACTGTATCCCCAGGACCTAGAACAATGTCTGGCTAAATTAGGTGCAGAGTAACTACTTGTCAGATGATTTGATTTTTAGCGATTTTCAAGTTATTTGAAGTTTACAAACTTTGTATGAAGAGATATGCATACAAAGAGATATATAAAATTTTTATACTATAAAAATTTTAAACATATAACAAAGTTGAAAAAAATTGTACAATCAACACCTATATTTCCACCACCTAGGTTCTAACATTAAAATGTTATTATACTTGATTTATCACATATCTACTTATGTATCCATCCTTCTGTCCACATAAATGAATTTTAAAAACTTTTCAAATAGTTTTATAAAGCCTACTTAAAGGAGAGACTTGAGATAGTGAATATTTCCCAAGTTCTTAAATTTCTGTGTATCAGAGAAGAAGCAGGTGGCTGCTCATTTTGGCATCCAGAGCTTTAGAGTGGAATCTCATGGTGTGTTAAGCCACTGTACATTGAACTTTTAAAATTCACAGAAGCCAAAAATTAAAATTGTGTTTTGAAGCTGTTGCTCAGTCACAGTGACAGACAATATCATTGTGGGAGATTAAGTGACTGTGTTAAAGGGAATTCTAGCATTTAATTGAGGATGTTTAGTCTTAACTGAGAAACAATGGGAAAACTAAGCTTTGTAATTAATAAATCTGTTAGAAAAATAACCACGGTTGATTTAATTCTTCTTCTCTTGGTAGACATTGATGCCTATTGTTTCTTTTACTCCTTTATTTTATTTAATTAGTCTGTTTCACTGTTTACTGACACTTGTACTTTTGAGTAGAGAGGAGGAAGTATAAACAGTTCCCAAACTGGCTTAAGTCATAGGATGAAATAATGAAGTATATTGGTGTTGATTAATTCATACAATCATATAATATTGTTTGTCAATTATACTTATAATGTCAGAACTGTAAGGCCCTTTAGAATCATCTAGTCCAATCTTCTCATTTTATTGATAGAAAAACTGAGACTCTGAGAAGGGAAAGGGGGTTTTTCAAGGTTATGTATTTCCAAATCTTATATAAACCTAATATGTCCAGAAGCTAATTCTCTTCTCTTCTTACAGAAAGTCAGAAGAGTTCATTTTCCTGGCCTAGATGATCTCTTGGGTTCTTCTAGTTCTGATGTCGCTTCACTGTCTAATTGGACTACAACTTAAACCTGATGTGCTTTGTATGTTTGCATTGCATTTATAATACTTTAAATTACACTAGTACTTAGGCTTTAATTAATAACAAAAATTACTGGTTTAATGGACAGTTATTTTCTTTTTAATTTGCATATTATTCCTCTTAATATTCTACTGAAGTTTCTTCCAGTTTTCCTGAGTTATCAAGCTTTGACCAAAGAAAAAACTTTAAATGCCATAATAGGCTGATCCAGGTTTAGTGGGCCTAAAGTTCATACAATTTGGGTGTCCAAATGAGAAATAAGGGTTAAAAGTATTATTTCAAATGACCCAGAAAAGTAAGGGGCCCTGAGGGATAAGCTTCATGTACTTCATTGTGAACCTATCTCTGAATGCCAGAACAAATAATTTAGCTAGGTAAATAGCACAGGGAAGGGAAGGGACAAAGGGATGTTAATGTTTTCTAAGTACCCACTGTGTGACCAGCATCATACTAAACATTTAAAATATAGTATCTTATTAAATCCTCACAAAACGATAAGACTTTTATTACGTGTAGGCTATATTTTGTAAATTGGGCAAGTCTGCACAACTAGTAAATGGCAAAACAGGATTTGAACCCAGGTCTTTCTGATTCAAAAATCTGTGCATTCCACCATATCCTTATATGAGAATAGCTGTTATTTTAATGCTCTGTTAATCACAATGGAAAACACAAATATAATCAAATATACATGTTGACAGCTGAGGACTTCCATTCATAAAGGATAAGAGGAATACTTAAATAATGATAATTCAAGACACAGTGTTTTACTTGCATCAAAAAAGGCTTCAAGGTAGAACCATCACTATATCTTTGCCAATGGTAGGAGATGCTCTAACAAATATAAACGTGATGCAACGTTTATTTTTCCAAGCACTTCTTTATTTGATTTTATATTTCAATAGTTTTGGGGTACGAGTGGTTTTTGGTTACATGGAAGTTCTTTAGTGGTGATTTCTGGGATTTTGGTGCACCCATAACTGGAGAAGTGTACACTGTACCCAATATGTTGTCTTTTATCCATCACTGCCCCACCCATTCTTCTCCTTTGAGTCCTCAAAGTCCACTATATGATTCTTATGCTTTTGCATCCTCATAGCTTAACTCCAACTTACAAATGAGAACATACGATATTTGGTTTTGCATTCCTGAGTTACTTCACTTTCGAATAATGGCTTCCAGCTCCATCCAAGTTGCTGAAAAATATATTATTTTATTCCTTTTTATGGCTGAGTAGTATATATATATATACACACACACATATATATACACACATATATATGCATATATATGCATATATATACACACATATATATACATATATACACATATATATACATATATACACATATATATACATATATACATATATATATACATATATACATATATATATATATACCACTTTTTTGTTTTATATATACACATAGTGTGTATATACCACATTTTCTTTATTCACTCGTTGGTCGATGGGCACTTAGGTTCCATATCTTTGCAATTGAGAATTGCGCTGCTATAAACATGTGTGTGCAGGTGTCTCTTTGATATAATGACTTTTCTTTTGGATAGATACCCAGTAGAGGGATTGCTGAATCAAATGGTAGTTCTACTTGTAGTTCTTTAAGAAATCTCCTACTTTTAACCATGCTCTCTCAATCTCCCATCCTGTCCCTTAGCAACATCTTTAGCAGATTTCATTCCTTTGTGGCTATTTTCAGCTATCAAATTTAGTTAAATTGAGTGTAAAAAAATTCAAAAATTTATACTATCTCCTGCTCTAGTGCAGACTAGAGCTCTTACCTGGCTGCTTGGAGGCCGGTATGAGTGGTAGAGGGTGGGGAAGAGTCCAAGTCAACTGTTCTGAGATTATTTTACTTTCTTTCTTTTCTTAAAGGAGTTCCTTTTGTGCTGAGGAAGGGAGAGGGAAATAGTACACAGAGTTCTTCTTACATCATTTATTGGTCACCTGCTGTGGCTGGTGATCCCATTTTGTCCAACTTGGTAGCATCTTCTGCTGTGTGGTTTTCCCATATATGAAGTGTGTGGCTTTCTTGAGGCACTGTTTTGCTTCATCTTGGCCCCCTTCTAATACTGAAGACTATCACAGGAAGGAGCAGTTGTGTCTTCCTTCAGTCTCTCCAGGTAGGGCGTCACCTTATTTGCATGGCATCTCTCTATGTAGTCCTACAACTTCCACCCTTTGTGCTTAGGCTCTCTTATAAGTCCTCCAAGTCCATAAAACTAAGACTGAGGGTTTTACCCATGTTCTTCCAAGGCATAGCTCTCTATAACCTCTTTTGGCCTTGCTGCTATAGACAATTTCAGCAGAACTCCTACCTTTAGAACTAACTAGACCACAAGAGGATATATATTTCAAAGCTATTTTATGCCTCAAATGTCTTAAGGGCTCTCAAGAGCTCTCAATATCCTCCTGTCTCATGGCATTACCAGGGAGAAATTGCAGCCTCATATGGGAAGTGAGAGACATCTCATTTTCTTGCAAGCACCCATGATCTCTCTGAATTATTCTTTTGAAGCTACCCTTTGGCCTCACTTAGCCTGTGTTAATGGCAGAAAGTACTCCATCTACTCTCCCATCAGGAAGGAAGTAATCTCTTACTAGAAGCTCTTTACAAATCACAAAGCCAGTGATTCCACTTATCATACACCTTCTTCCAGGCCATGCAAAAATAGGTTATGTGGGCTGTTTGCTAAACTTTCCAAGGATAAACAGAAACTCTTAGAAACATTAATGCAGAAATAATAAATTACCTAGAAAGGAAAAAAAATATCAAATTTGAATTTTATTTCTCATTTGCAACACTGAAGCTGTAAGCTCTTGAATAGAATCTACAGACCACTGACAAAAAGCACCACAACAAATATCACTCTTACAACAAAGAAAAAGGGCTTCTTGCCCCAACTTGTGATTATTAGAGTGAAACACTCTGACCGTTTTCTGGCTATTCCCCTCCTCATAGAGCAATGAATTTAATGAGTCATGGGGCTGTGCTCACCTGGAGCCAATGGTCACGAGCCAGAAATTGGCCCTTTCTGTACTACCACTTTCCGATACAGAACTATAGCCAAATAATTGATTAGAACCTAGACTGTCAGTTGTTATAAAGGCATGCTTATCAAGGTAGGATACTATAACATGTTTAATGATTTATTAACTTGGTTTATAACTTTTAGTTTATTTTTTAGTTGACATAAAATTTGACATTCTGATATATGTATGTGTAATTTTTAGATATTTAGGCATATGATATGTTGAATTCTAGTTTTGTCATTGTTCTGGGGCCCTCAAATGTTATAAATAAGCCTGATCATAACCCAAGGATTATCCTCCAGCCAAGATATCAGTGATATGTCAAGATACAGCAGATATTTGGAAATGTTTGGGAATTTAGAGACTATATTGTCCATGAACCTCATATGAGTAATACACTTGAGAGAAAAAAATAAAATAACCAAACACTAAAGGAACCAAAAGAGAAACTTTAATATAAAAGGAAGGAAGATGAGAAAAACTGTGGTGAGCAAAATTTTATAGCTATCTATATTCATCTCTACCTCTGTCTCTATCTCTATCTCTATCTCTATCTGTATATTTCCAGCTCTATCTTTATCACTATCCTTATCATTATCTTAATGTAATAGGTTAGAAAGTTTGCAACATATGCCTTAAGGGTTAAAGTGAAAATAAGGGCTCTCAGAATAAACTTAATACAGAGAAAATTTGAATAAGTACTAAGCTATCTTCACAAAACCTAGAATCTGGGGATGGGGAAAGGAGGAAATAAATGTCTTCCAAAGATCACTTGTGGCTGTGGTGGTGGTAGTGTGGTAGGAATACTAGAAAATGTGAAGAATGTACAAATATTCTAAAGTAATCATGTAATTGAAAAAGGGCTAATTAGGGAAGACATGGAGCATCTCGGCAGAGGATACTGCTTCTTGATGTGGGAAATATGGGAGTGGCTTAAACAATCACAGTTTTTTTCACAGGATGGAATATTATGCAGTTATTTAAAAAGCATCAATTAGACTTATATCACCTGAATTGGAGGGGATTTCTATGCGTATTGTTGTGTGAATAAAATATTAAAGTAAGGTATGTAAAACGTGATCTCATGTTGTGGAACAAGTAATAGGGGGATAAAACCTTTCTTGTATCTATATGTCGTATGTGTAGAACTGTATGAGCCTTCAACCAAATATGGAGTGATAAACATATCTACATATAAGGTTGTTAACACAGGTTACATGGGGTGTGGTGAGCATCAGAAAATGACAACAGGGAAAAATGTAAGACTCAATTAAAAAAAGATACAAAAAAGTCCCCACACTAAAATAAAGACAGTGCTGCTTCCCTTCTCTCAAAATAGTATTCCATTCTCAAAAAAGTTTGGGAAATGCCAGATTACACTAGATTAAATAGGTTTTATTATGTCAGGCCTTCACGGAATCTTTACCATATTAAATATGTGCCATGAATCTTTAATGTAAGAATACATTACATAGAATACATTTTTGCAGTGCACCCATTAATAACTCCCAAAAGAAGAATTTTGCAGAATTATTTGGGGGAAATGCTGCTGTAGTCATTTTTAATTTGAAAGTATCGATATTGCCCTCTGGTAGATATATTACCATGATCTTGTTCTATGTCTTGATTAAATACTGTATTAGTTTGTTTTCACACTGCTGATAAAGACATACCCCAGACTGGGAAGAAAAAGAGGTTTAATTGGACCTACAATTTCACGTAGCTGGGGAGGCCTCAGGATCATGGTGGGAGGTGAAAGGCACTTCTTACATGGGCAGCAAGAGAAAAATGAGAAAAAAGTGAGAGCAGAAACCCCTGATAAACCCATCAGACATAGTGAGACTTATTCACTCTCACGAGAATAGCACAGGAAATACTGGCCCTCATGATTCGATTACCTCCCCCCTGGGTCCCTCCCACAACACATGGGAATTCTGGGAGATACAATTCAAGTTGAGATTTGGGTTGGGACACAGCCAAACCATATCAAATACTTAAAGTGCCTTGTCACATTGCTTACCATCATTTAGCACCCCTAAATTGCTGGAAATGATTATGTAGGCATTTCACATTCTTCTCATGCATCTACTATTGATTTGATTAGGGCTGGTTATCACCATCTTGATTACTCCTCTGTCAAATATTACTTGTACATTCATGTTGCCAGTAGATTTTGTGATTTATGTTTATATTTTCTTTTCTTCACATTCCCTCACAAGTTTCAAGTATCACCATGACTCTATATTTAGAGTACTACAATGTTTTAGACACTGAACAACACTTTTCCTTTTCTTAGCTCAAACTTGTACAAGCTGACGGTTTAATCCAGACGCTGTGTAATCCTTTGATTTCAAGGCTTGGACAGTGGTGGAATAAAAGAAATTTATGTTTTCTATCATCTCAGTCAAAAGACAGAACTGAAAAAGAAAATCTTGAACTACAATCATCTCCAGTCTCTCACTGGATACTGTCAGGTTGAGAAAGGTACACAAATTGATAACTGACTTAGATATTTTCAAGGACTTAGAAGATAGGATTCAGAGATTTGCTCATTTAACAGGCATTGATTGACATAGTTTTCCCAGCTATCTGGTAGTGACAAATGTTTTTTGAGCAGTAATTTTTTTTTAACTGTATTTCAGACTCTGAATTCAAAGCTCCAAATAACGTGGAGTTATAGAGTCTCAAGAAACAACCTGTGGTATTCAGGTGAACTAGGGTGTGCTGCAGGAACATATGACCTCCAAATCTTAGTGACTTAAACCAACACAGTTGCTTGCGTTTGCTCTGGGCTCTGCTCCAACGTTATCCTCCCTCTAAAACCCAGCCTGCTCAAATCGCCATCATCTAGAATGTTACTGAATGCTGTGGCACAGAGAAACACTGAGTGTAAAGGCTCTCAAAACTTCCATTGGTGCCCATAAATGAAGTGTTTCACTTTTGTTCACATTGCACAGGCCAAAGCAAGTCACAACTAACTTCAAATGGTTAGAGAAGTACAATCAACCTATGCCCAGAACAAGTTATAATATTGTGAAGAAACCTAAAGCATACCACACAGCCTGTTGAAAGGCCATCTAGTTTATACCTGAACCAAATTTTATCTTTGCTACGGCTAAATTGTACATTCACACACACACCAAAGTCATATACTTATAAAGTGACAACATGTCTGTATTATTACTGCCAGTATTAGAATTCTTTACCTATGAACAAGGTCCTAAAATTTGAGTAACCAGTTGAGCACATAATTGCATTATTTGTTTCGGCTGAGTACTCTTCAGGCTCTTACCAGGATTTGTATGTGTGATTTTCTGAATTAAATACATTTAAAGAATATTTTCAACACAAATACTGCTTATTGCAGAAAGGGAAAGAGTAATATCTAATATTTAAATATCCTTTGATTATTTTTTAATGATATCTCAAGAGCTTTAGTAATGACCAAAATGATTGGAGATAGGAAGGTGGAATGAAAGAAGGGGTATGAAGACAATACTTGAAACATATTTTTAGTCTTTACAAATCAGAATTTGTATTTATGAGAAATTATTGAATTTAAAATGAATTTAGTCTTGTTTACTTCTCATTGCATTAGACTTCAGTATTCAATGTTTACTAAATTATGCTTCTGAATCATATTATCAATAGTATAATATTACAAATTTAAATAATATGCTTAAATATGAAAATGTGTGAACATCTTTCATAAACCAGTTTTAACTTGTTGGAAGAAAGGTAGACTCTAAAATATGTGAAGGGTATAGCCTTTTCAATGATAATCTAAAGCATAATGTTCAAGATATATTTTTAGAGAATCTCTAATATCACCACTAGGGGCACTGAGGGAATAATTTTCTTTTGGAACATTCCTATTATCTTCCCCCACTAGATAAAGTCTCATAGATCCAGAGATCACCTTCCTAGACCTTTCAGGCTTTTGTTCAGAAAACATCTGCTAACTTCTTTTCAAGTCACTATAACCATTTAAAATGCTCACTCTCAGGCTCCTCAGTCACCTTAACTAGAAAAATGAGAAATACTTTAACTAAACAAAGGATACATCTGCAAAATTAGGAACATTATTGAAACCAAAGAGAATTTGATGGTGTTTTGATTTGGGAAATTACAGGGATAGGAAAAAGCCACTTCTTGCCAATTTAGAAATTGTTAATATCTATTAAAAGGAGTAAGTTACCAAAATTGCTAAAGGCAGAACGATGATGCTTAATATGGGGTGCATGATTTCTAAGTCCAAATTTGGGCTCCTTTCATTTCAGCTGCCCTGCTTCCAGGTAGTAGATTGTATTAGGTTCATACTACCTATTGATGTGGAGAAGAAGTGGGTTATTCTCTCTGTTTCTATACCCTGGAGTTCCTTTGCCTACTGTGTGATCCTTAGCTAATCCTAACCCTGAGTATTCGTAAACATCATGTCCAGATGATCTGATGTTCATGTCAAGAGTTCCCAGGTTTTGTCTCTTTTTTTTTTTCCTTAGACATCACCAAATTCTGTGCACTCTGTCTTACTTCATTTTTTTTTTTTTGGTCTGTGATTTTGTTTTTAATTATTTTAAGTCTTATGATCACACATTATTCTTGAATTTGTGTGTATCTCCTCTACTTTAACTCTTTTAAGTTGGCAAAAGCACCATTCCCAATCATAAATACACAGCAGTTCTACAGCTTTATGTTTCTGAATGGCTGTTTAAAGACAATCCTAAATTATAACTTGGTCTGACTTAGATAGTAAATAATTCAAGAATGAAGTTTAACTTGCTACTATTTTAAAAGCATCTGCTCTTATAGATCATCTATAAAATGTGAGAAGTGTTAAATAATCTTTATTTGATATTACATATAAATCTCACTAAAATGCTTTTCAGTAAGTAAAATGAACCATTTTAGATACAGAGAATTCTAATTAGATTGGTCTAGTTGAGGCCAAAAATATAAAGTAGATGTTGCTACTTTATCTTCAGCCCTTACCCTTTAGAGGCAAATGAACACAAAGCACAGGTGGTTTTGAGACAATGAAGGAATTTCTCCAGTATTTAAATATATTAATATAACCAGTTATATAACTCTAAATATAAAACCAAACTCCAATAAGTTTTAAGATGGCATTCACCATATTTGTGAAAAGTTGAACATTACTAATGAAGTCCAGTCATATCTTTAGAAGGAGTAAACAGCGATAGCATTTAGTGAATTGTAACTACTATTAAAATTCAAAAAACTGAACATATTCATTTAACCACAACCCAGTCTTAGTTAAATCAGGACTGCCCAGCAAAAACATTCTGTCAGTCATCGATGATCTGAATTCTGGTGTGTGAGATCTATTAAATTATGGTGCACATAGAAAAGTCATGAGACATTTCTGTTTTGTAATAAATAAGGAAGTGGCCAATTATTACTCATTAGTAGCTTTTTTTGAGATAAGCTATGAACTCTGCCCTTTCTGTCTTCTTCTTAATGCCGGAAAAGATCATTTTTGTTCCAGGAATGTACTTTTGGAGATTCTCCAAATACTCCATCAGTGTATCCTTTTCCCCAGGTGATGCTTTGTTCTTATGGGCATCTGTGTAAGAGAATCCAACGGCCTGACCTGTCTTCCGCCCAAAGAGACCACCCAGATTAGCCCAGTCTTGCGCTTTTGCCTCCCTTTTCCATGGTGTGACACTGGGCGGACTTCTGAACAAAAACCTTCTTGCCTTTCTCAACATCACCCATGTTTAATTCTTTTGTCGCTGGGGCTATGAGGGTTCCCGCTCGGAAGCCAGATGTCCCTCTCTATCCTGTCTTACTTAATTTTGTGCTGCTATAACAGAATACCTAAGACTGGTAATTTATAATTAGCAGAAACTTATTGTCATGTGGTTCTGGAGGCTGGGAAGTCTATGATTGAGGGGTTGGCATCTCTCGAGGGCCTTCTTGCTATATCATTTCATGGCTGAAGGGCAAAGAGGGTGAGAGAAATGAAGAGAAAAGGGGACTGAATTTGCCCTTTTAAAACAAACCCACTTCTGTGATAACAGCATTAATCTATTCATGAGGGGTAAAGCCCTCATGGCCTAATAGCCTTGTACTAGGCCTCACCTCCCAATACTGATACAATGGGGATTAAGTTTCCAACATATGTTTTTAGAGGACACATTCAAACCATAGTACATCTCTATTTTTCAATATGATGCCTAATACTTAATCAATTATTTTATTTTATGCATAAGCTAATCCAAGAGAAAAAGTGTGGCTCTATTTTAAAAGTGAGAAATCAGAATCAGAAAGATTTAATGACTTGTGTAAGGAGAGCCAATATTCGAACCAAGGTCTCTCCTCTTTTAAAACCTGTGGTTTTCTACTATAACATAATCTAATCAATAATCTTCATACATGTATTGTAGCAAAAATACCATTCATTGAAAAGCTAGAAAAAGTGAGGCTGAGAGATGATACTGTTATTGTCATTTTAGCAAAATAATTATACTGTTATGTAGAATAGGAATAGACAATCTACCTTTAAAAAGTATGCTATTTCAATGCTTCAATAATTGACTATTAATACCATGATTTGGAATAAGTAGTCACTAAAATTCACTAGTTTTTGTGGTATAAACCCCTAAACTGATAGTCCTTTCAAAAAATTTTCATTTGTCTCTTTGGTATTGCTAAGCATACATTTTTTTCCAAGAGCCCAAAATTGCACTGAAGAGTGTAATTAGTGGAACGAAGAAAATGCAGTCAATAATTCAAAATTTATTGGTACTATTTCATCTAGGATGTTGGCATTGAATATAACCTTGATTATCTTTTTTTTTACATTCCATTGAACAGTAAAAAACACAAGACATGCTTGTTATTCCACTTTTAAGCATTTTGGTGAAATATAGCAGTTAAGATAATGAAAATGCAGTACTTCATTACAGTGAGATTAGTTTTTCTGGCTTAACTGATTTTCCTCTTAGGCTCTAGAATTAATAGAACTGAATTGTTAAATGAGTATGTTTAAAGTATTCACAGTGACCAATGACCCCACTTACGGAACACAAGAATTAGACCTTTGCTCACACCCTTCATACACCTACACCCTTCCACCTCAGTCAATAGCCTTATTCTAATAGGCAAATACATTCTGTGATCAGTTTACCCAATTCGGAGAGTTTTTGGCACCTCGATTCTGAAGTATATCCCTCTCATGCCAGCTTTTGCAGAAAGTTTTGTGTTTTACTTTGCTCAGGCCGCTATAACAAAATACCATAAACTGAGTGACTTATAAACAACATCAATTTATTGATCTCACAGTTCTGGAGACTGGGAAGATCAAGGCATCAGCAGATTCAGTGTCTTGTGAGAGCCCATTTCATAGATAGCACCCTCTTGCTGCGCCCTCATATGGTGGAAGGGAAAAGGGATCACTGCAGCCTCTTTATAAGAGCAGTAATCCCATTTATGAAGGCTTTGTCCTCATGACCTAATCACCTCCCAAAGGGTCCAACTCTTAATACCATCACACTGGGAATTAGGTATCAACATATGAATTCTGGGGGAGACACACACATACCATGTTTCAGAGGCAGATTTGTTAGCAAGTTCATGAGTATAGCTTATACTTAAGGTAATTATGGAGCTGATGTCGGTTGATTATTTTGCATCCCTTATGTTTTACTTGTATTCCATCTTACAGGGTATGATTAGCTGTATTCTTTCTCTGGCACCCTAGTGTATTCTCCATGAGTACGTATTTTTCCTTTATCTAGTAACATTGGCTTTACTAGGGATAAATCTGGGGCACCAAATAGTATTACTGGGAATCTTGAAGACATAACCTCAATGAGAGATGGCAACACAAGCCAATGGTGGAAGATGTGGGTCTATAAGTAAGGAATTCTTTAAGGCCGCAGTTAGTACAGACTATTTACAGTTGCTTAAACAAATAGCAGTTAGTTTTTCTCACAAAATAGAAAGCCTGGATGTAGGCAAGTGTATCGATGTTAGGGTGTCAAGAGGCCTCTTTTCCCTGATGGTCATAAGATGACATTCGTAGCTCCATGACTTATAGCTTCATTCAAAAGTATGGGTGGGTGGCAGTGGCAGTGTCACCTCTTTTGTCAAAGATGCCAACTCTTTCTTAGAGCTCCTGGGAAGACTTCATTTTATTTCCAGGAGTGTGTCACATAGGTAACCTTAGTACTAAGAAAGGCTTGGGGCCAGCTCAGTGGCTCACGCCTGTAATCCCAGCACTTTGGGAGGCCGAGGTGGGTGGATCACCTGAGGTCAGGAGTTCGAGACCAGCCTGGCCAACATGGTGAAACCCTGTTTCTACTAAAAATACAAAAATTATCTGGGCGTGTTGGTGGGCACCTGTAATCCCAGCTACTCAGGAGGCGAGAGGCTGAGGCAGGAGAATCACTTGAACCCAGGAGGCGGCGGTTGTTGTAGTGAGCTGAGATCACGCCACTGCACTCCAGTCTGGGCGACAGAGCAAGACCCTGTCTCAAAATAAATAAATAAATAAGGCTTGGAAAGCAGGTTTAGACTTTTTAGCTTCTATGAAGAAGGTGGAGAGGTAGGAGAGAATGTTGAGTTGCCCAATTGCATGGACCTTTAGAATGTTTTAGTGCCCTTGCTCCATCTGAGGACTTTTATGCTTCTCCAGGGTATAACCCCGGGAAAACATTTTCAGCTTCCCTGCAGTTATATCTTATTCATGTGACCTAGACATACTTGTGTGAGACTTTGATTTTGAGATGAGAAAATGGAGGAAGGTGATTTCATGTGAAATCCATTTTGTTGAAAAATGTTGAGGTATAACTGTCTGATTTGGGGGGGACTGACAATTGCAAAGTTTAGTTTCTGGCTCAACATTTGCCTGGGCAGGGGACAGTGGAAGCAATGGCAGTGATTTCCTCTAGTGCTCATCGGAAAAGCAACTGTGGCTGTTTCTCCTTTTCTTTTCTTTTCTTTCTTTCTTTCTTTCTTTCTTTCCCCTTCCTTCTTTCCTTCCTTCCTTCCTTCCTTCCTTCCTTCCCTTTCTTTTCTTTCTTTCTTTCTTTCCTTCTTTCTTTCTTTTCTTTCTTTCTTTCTTTCTTTCTTTCTTTCTTTCTTTCTTTTCTTTCTTTTCTTTTCCTTTCTTTCTTTCTTTCTTTCTTTCTTTCTTTCTTTCTTTCTTTCTTTCTTTCTTTCTTTCTTTCTTTCTTTTTTTCTTTCTTTTCTTTCTAAATCAATCTAACATTGTAGCCTGGCCTTAGGCATTATTCCTAAAGGCTTAACCTTTAGTCCCATCCTACCTACCTCGAGACGATTCTGTGAATGATCCAATATTCTTTAATTCAGTTTATTTTCTTCTTAAGTAACTAGAACCATGTTGGTTGCTTGCAACTAAAACCCTAGGTGATACAGTGAGCAAAATTAGGGGTGTTAAATTCAAGAGGAGTGGGAGGTCTAAAAGTCATAAAAATATCTGCCAAACAGAGAAGAGAAAAGAAAGACATTGCAGGCTGAAAGAACTACATAAGAAAATATATAAAGTAGACCTGGGCTTGAAATATCTATAGAGCAAAAAGCATATTGCTTGGGCTTGAACACTGGCTTCATACAGAGAAATACTGGAAGATATAGTTGGGTAATAAACAGTCATGGATGCTCAGTGAAGGGCTTTGAAATTTAACCTGGAATGAGTAATTATTTTTGATGAAGTCTAGTCTGTTAACAGTATACATGGTAAAATTATAAAAGAGAAACTAGTATCAAGGAAGCCAGTCAGCATACTATTGTAATAATGCAGGTATGATGTAATTAGATCTAAACTAAAATATTTATAACAGATCTCAAAAAGGAAAAGATAAACAGATGTAGAGAACAATTAAGTCTTAAAAGTTTAATAAGAATCCCTTGTAGGAGAGATCTTGGTGTCTCATAGTAGCTGACAGGACCACATTATAGAAAAGATAAAATAGCTGATCTGAAAATGACCTGTGATTTTTTAATTAGTGAATAGGTGGGAGACGAGGTCATCCCCCAAGTGGCAGGGATAATGTGGGTAAAGGCACAAAGGAAAGACTGAGTATGCCTAATACAGAGGCCAGGGAGACTTCTGACATTACTGCAATCAAATTTTTATTTGGGGGGGTTAAAGGGAAACATGTTTGTAAAAGAAATACACTACAGGTAACATGTAAAAGGGATAGAAATCGGGCTTTGTTATAGTACATATCTATCTCTTAGAGGATCTTGAAGAAGTGAAGGCATAGATGTATCTTCAATTGCGTGATTATACCAGTATTTGAAATGACTGGATTATTGGATTATAAGTCATTTCCAGGACTGTAGGGACTGCAATAAGTGTGGCCAAGCAGGTAGCTAATATATTAAATTCAGTGTGCATTAGAAGGTCCAAGATAGCTGTGATCACACTTAAAAAGGAAAGGAAAGAGAAATGGTAGGAATGGGTGACAATTGGGAGAAAGATGAAATGCAAACAGATGTCAAAGATGACTACAAAGTCTTTTGCCCAGCAGAGCTGTGGTCATGTGGAAAGGAGAGCTGTTCTATGAGGAATTATAGGTGGTACTCAAGTTGCATATAAAGCATATGCTTTCTTATCTAGCAAAATTGATTCAGGTTCCAGCTCTGCCACTTACTAGCCAAGCCTTCATTTCATAATGAACACCTGATACAAGTACAGTTTAGTAGAAATAAGAAGTTGATCACTTTTTCAATGACTCTACCTCTCATTCAGAATCAAGTCTAAATTCATGAACATTTCATATCATATTCAGTTTTTCCTCTGTCACCAGTCTCAATCTTTGTAAACATGCACCATCCCTCTCCATACACACACTGACACATTAGCCATATAGAGCTTCTTAAAGGACCACGGTTTGCCTCATTTTCTCATGTCTCTGTTCCTTTATTCATGTTCACTTGTAACACTTTCTCTCCCTATCCTTGCTAATATATCTTTTCTTTTTTTTCAACTTAACCTTCATCTCTTTTAGGAAAAGCCTCATTTGGCCTCATCTTAGTGATTGTAATATACATTTACGTCAATGCAAGCCTTCATTACAGTGCATTATCATAGCATTTGGTACATGTTTGACTTCTCCGTTAGACTGCATTCATTGACAGCACCAATACCGTCTCATTTGTCTTTGTGTTTCAAGTGCCTTCCAAAATATCCGCATATAGTAGGGTCACAATAAATATTGAATGTATAAATGATCACCTTATGAGCTTGAGCTTGATAAATCATGCTAAGTAAGGATCAGGGCTGATATGTTTGTAATGCCAAGTATCTTTTATGTAATGTAGCTTTGTAAACAACATTCCTTGCTCCCTCTCTATAAGCTGAAGTGAAGGTTTGGAAGCTGTCTATACAGCTACCACAATGGCTGGCAGAGCAGCTCCTATGACATCTGTAGAGCACATTGCTTATCCACAAGAGAGAATATTTTTTCTTGGTGCCTGTAAGAATGAGTTGTTTCTACTCTAA
The DNA here is from genome assembly GCF_000001405.40 of Homo sapiens. Taxonomy (NCBI): domain Eukaryota; kingdom Metazoa; phylum Chordata; class Mammalia; order Primates; family Hominidae; genus Homo; species Homo sapiens. The sequence goes on along the minus strand of NC_000023.11, from coordinate 145,170,823 downwards.
TATACAAAAAAGAGAAAAAAATAAATTTGTTAATAGAAAAGTAAAGCATGTGGTTAGATGTTTAAAATGTAATAATTTTAGAAAACCTTTGCTAGAAAGTTATAATTTTCTTCAAAAAAGGGACGGGGTAGTTAATATTCAAACTATATAATGAATTCAAATGACCCAATAGCAACAAAACAAACAACCTGATTAAGAAATGGGCAAAGATCCTGAATAGACATTTCTCAAAAAAGACGTACAAATAGCCAGCAGGTATATCAAAAAATGCTCATTACTCATCATCAGAAAAATGCAAATCGAAACCATGAGGAGGTATAACTTCATATCTGTTAGAATGGCTATTATTTTTTAAAAAGAGCATTGGTGAAGATGTGAAGAAAAGAGAACGCTTTTACACCTTGGGTGGTATATAAATTGGTGCAGTCACTCTGGGAAACAGTATGGAGATTCCTCTAAAAATTAAAAATGCCACATGGTCTAGCAATCCCACTTCTGGGTATATATCCAAAGAAATGGAAATCAATATGTCAAAGAGGTATCTGCTCTCCCATGCTCGTTCCAGCAGTATTCACAAATGGCCAAGTTGTGGAAGCAACGTAAGTACCCATCGATGGATGAACTGATAAAGAACATTTGGTCTATACATACAGTAGAATATTATTTCCACTCCGAAAAGGAAATCCTGTCATTTGCAACAACATAAATGAATTGGAAGACATGATGCTAAGTGAAATAAATCAGAAAGACAAGTACTACATGATATCACTTAAATGAGGATTCTAACAGTCATAGTCATAGGAACAGAGAGTAGGATGATGGTTGTTAATGGCTGACAAAAGGGGAAAACAGACAGGTATCAGTCAAAAGGTGCAAAGTTTCAGTTATGTGAGATGAATAAGCTCTAGAGCTCCACTGTACAGCCTAGGGTCTACAGTTAACAATACTGTACTATATATTTTAAAAATTGTGAAATATTCTTATCACGAATAATAAATAATTATAATAAAAAGGGCAATAGGAAATTTTGGAGTAGATGAATATGTTTATGGCATAGATTATGGTGATGGTTGTATGGGTATATACTTATACCCAAAGTCATCAAGTTGCATACATTAATTCTGTGCAGATTTTTATGTCAATCATACCTCAATAAAATGGTTAAAATTTTTTATAAAAATAATCTCTGTGGCACTGGAAAGAAGAAAAAATAGGGAGGGAAAGAGGTGTCTTGGGCTGGATCCAGAAACAGAAAAATAACTTTAAATGGAAAACAAATGAAAAATGTACAAGGTCTAGAATCAATGTTGGTTTCTTGGATTCGACAAATGTCCCATTATACTGTAAGATGTTAATAATAGGGGACAATAGGTAAGAAGTGTGGGCAAGATCTGTACTAACTGTGCAACTTTTCTGTGAATTTAAGTATTCCGAAACAGTATTTATTTTAAAACATAGGGTAGAGGTTGCACAACAGCATGACTGTACTAAATGCCACTGAAATGTACACATAAATATACTTAAAATGGTAAACTTTTTGTTATGTATAATGTATGTTTTACAACATTTGAAAAAATAAGTACCTGGGTGGCAGAAACAATCATACTCCAAGCCTCAGCATCACACGATATACCTAGGTAGCAGACCTGCATGTGTACCTCCTCAATTTAAAATAAAAGATAAAATTATTTTTAAAAAATTAAAAAATAATGACATAAAATAGAACCAAGTGGTCATTTGCAGACTACAAGTTACACACATACTCTGAATTTCTGGAAAACCTACATGTCTGCTTGACTTTGGGACTTTCATAACTGACTGTTCTTGCCTATGCCACTTGAATCACCCAATAATAGGCTGTAGCCTGCTTTAACCAATCAGAACTCAGCTGCATCAACCAATCAGAACCAAGCAAGTTTGACTCCTGTATTTGCATAAGATGACCTGAGTGGGAATTTTATCAATGCCAAAACCTTCCTTTGTTTCATAGAATGCACTTTCCCTTGATGCTGAAGGTTGTGTCGCCCCAGTTTGCAATCTGTTTACTGAAATAAAGTCTCTTTCCTCTGAAAGACAAAATGGGGAGAAGCTTAGGTATGCTCTGGGAGAAGTGTAGTAAGGGGAATGAGATAGCAATTTTTAAGCAATTTTTTGCACGTCTGCAGTATTTCAGGCACTGTACTAGAAATAAAAAGGATATTTTCATTTCCAGTGTTACTGATGAGTCCACTGAGATTTCACGAATTTAGGTAATTAGCATATCTATGTTCCACCCTGGGTTTGCTTTAATCCAAGTTTAAGTGAGAGGCCCTGGAGTGTATATTTTTCAAACAGTAACCCGGATGAGTGCAATGATCAGCCAAGTTTGAAAACTACTGCTCTAAGCCTTTTACATCCTCTGCCTCTACGAGTATTTCTCTTATCTTGAAGATGAAAGCAGGCAGTGTAGGCTCTTGTTTAATGTGGACCCTGAGCACTGGACAGACTCTTATAGCCCAAGGTCAATGCATTAAACACTGCAGTGAAGCTAGAAGAGCAAGATATAAGGAGAAATGTCATAGAATTGGATCAAATATCATACTCCATCTAAAGTTCCAACTAGAGAAGTACAATTGTCCTGAAAATTCTGGGTCATGTATTGCAGACTGAACTCAGCTCCACAATATCAATTGGTATATTTGGCCACTTCTTGCATTCCATCTCCATAGGTGTCATTGACTGCAGAGACCTCTAGTCACCAGGGGATTTTCAGATATAGTAAAAAAGGTAATTAGAGGCTGGCAGGGTGAATGGATTAAGGCAGTATGCACAGAGGTTCAGAAAATAAGCAAGCAAACACTTAAGAAAACAAACAATCGTGTTTCTTAATTCACTGAGAAAACAGAAGCAATTAGAAGAGACTTCCACAGACTTCCAGAGCTACATCTCTTCATCTATTTATATATGTGGTCGTAGTCACTGTCTGTTCTGCTGTAACTATGCATTAGCTGTGTTTCTATCTAAAGGCCAGCCTGTATACTTCTTTCATTAGATCCCAAAAACTCTGACCTACTAACATGAAGATATTGCTGCAGCATAATGACCTTTCCTACTAGATATTTCAATTTGGAAGACAGCTATGCTGCTATTTTACCTATCCATTAAAAAAAAATCTAACTAAACAAAACAAAAGGACCCAAACCAAGAAACATTTCTCTTAACCTTTGGATCACACCCTGATTAGCTATCTACCATCGTATTTCTCTGTCCTGCTTTACTGCAGAGATCTTTAGAAGAGATGTCTCGATAGCCTGTCTTGAATTCCTCTCCTATCATTCTACCTTGAATCTAGAATCTTGCCTCTGCTCCTCTGCCAAAAGCTCTCTTGGTTAAGATCACCAATGCCATCTTCATTGCTAAATCCAATGTTCAGTCCTCATTTCTCAACTCACTAGGCTGATTCAGCAGCATTTCCCACAGCTGATTACTCCTTTCTCTCAGAAACACTTTATTCACTTGGCTTCCAGGACCAAGTCTTCCTGCTCCCTCTCACTGACTGCACCTTGTTAGTCTCCGGATTGTTCCTCATTCCTGTGACTTCTGAAATTTGGAAAATACCAGGCTCAGTCTTGGACCCTCTTTTTCTGTCACTGACTCTCACTCTACTGGATATATTTTTCTGTCTTTTTAAAAATTACACTCTAAGTTTTGGGGATACATGTGCAGAACGTGCACGTTTGTTACATAGGTATAAAAGTGCCATGGTGGTTTGCTGCTCCCATCAACCCATCATCTACGTTAGGTATTTCTCCTAATGGCATCCCTCCCCTAGACCCCCACCCCCTGACAGGCCTGCATGTGTGATGTTCCCCTCCCTGTGTCCATGTGCTCTTATTGTTCAAATTCCGCTTATGAGTGAGAACATGCGGTGTTTGGTTTTCTGTTCCTGTGTCAGTTTGCTGAGAATGATGGTTTCCAGTTTCATCCATGTTCCTGCGAAGGACATGAACTCATCCTTTCTTATGGCTGCATAGTATTCCATGGTGTATATGTGCCACATTTTCTTTATCAAGTCTATCATTGATGGGCATTTGGGTTGGTTCCAAGTCTTTGCTATTGTGAACAGTGCTGCAACAAACATATGTGTGCATGTGTCTTTATAGTAGAATAATTTATAATCCTTTGGGTATATACCCAGTAATGGATTGCTGGGTCAAATGGTATTTCTGGTTCTAGATCCTCGAGAAATCGCCACACTGTCTTCCACAATGGTTGAACTAATTTACACTCCCACCAACAGTCTAAAAGCATTCCTGTTTCTCCACATCCTCTCCAGCATCTGTTGTTTCCTGAGTTTTTAATGATCACCATTCTAACTGGCGTGAGATGGTATCTCATTGTAGTTTTGATTTGCATTTCTCTAATGACCAGTGATGATGAGCTTTTCTTCATATGTTTGTTTGCTGCATAAATGTCGTCTTTTGAAAAGTGTGTGTTCATATCCTTCCCCCACTTTTTGATGGGGTTGTTTGTTTTTTTCTTGTAAATTTGTTTAAGTTCCATGTAGATTCTGGATGTTAGTGCTTTGTCAGTTGGATAGATTGCAAAAATGTTCCCCCTTTCTGTAGGTTTCCCGTTCACTATGATCTCTGATGATGGTTTCTTTTGCTATGCAGAAGTTCTGTAGTTTAATTAGATCGCATTTGTCCATTTTGGCTTTTGTTGTCATTGCTTTTGGTTTTAGTCATGAAGTCTTTGGCCATGCCTGTGATCTGAATGGCATTGCCTAGGTTTTCTTGTAGAGTTTTTGTGGTTTTAGGTCTTACATTTAAGTCTTTCATCTATCTTGAGTTAATTTTTGCATAAAGTGTAAGGAAGGGGTCCAGTTTCAGTTTTCTGCATATGGCTAGCCGGTTTTCCCAACACCATTCATTAAATAGGGAATTTTTTTCCCCATTGCTTGTTTTTGTCGGGTTTGTCAAAGATCTGATGGTTGTAGATGTGTGGCATTATTGCGTTATTTCTAAGGCCTATGTTCTGTTCCATTGGTCTATATATCTGTTTTGGTACCAGTATTAATATTCCATTTATGTGTTGATGGTTCCCAAGTGTATTGGTCTGTTCTCATGCTGCTAATAAAGACATACCTGAGACTGGGTAATTTATAAAGGAAAGAGGTTTAATGAACTCACAGGTACACATGGCTGGGGAGGCCTCACAATTATGGCAGAAGAAAAAGGAAGATCAAAGGGATGTCTTACATGGTGGAAGGCAAGAGAGAGCGTGTACAGGGGAATTCCCCTTTTATAAAATCATAAGATCTCATGAGACTTACTTACTACCACAGGAATAGCATGGGAAAGACCCACCCCCATGATTCAATTACCTGCCACCAAGTCCCTCTCATGACACATGAGAATTATGAGAACTACAATTCAAGATGAGATTTGGGTGGGCACACAGCCAAACCATCCAAGTTTATGCTGCCATCCTGGGGCCCTCCCTTGAACTCCATTTTTTCTATGGAAAACTGCCACCTTGACATCTCCACTTAGATATCTAATGCCCAATTGAATTGCTCATCTTCCCCAGACAAGCCCTCTTCTGCAGTTTTCCCATCTCAGTTAATTGTAAGTCTATTCTTCTGGTTTCTCAGGCTGAAAACCTAGAGAGATCTTTGACGATTCTGTTTTTCTTACACCCCAACTATTACTACATACATATATTAAGTCTTCTCCAATCTAACTTCCACACTTTCACAGAGTAAAGTTTTAGAAAATATAAATTCTATTACAGTATTTTGGTATTTAAAGTAATATCTACACTGATTAGCATGGGATTCAATTGTCTACCTTACCTGCCCCCTCCTACCTCTTACTTCAGTTTTCCCCTAGCCCAAAAATATTATGCTCCACCCTACCGACATCCTTGCAATTATCCTAAACCATTAGGGACTTTAGGAAATTATGCATCTTTCATACTTTCCCTTCTCCCTGAAATCTCCTCTTCCTCACTCCAGGAGGGTTATTTCCTGAGTCCATGAATATGTGATTGGAGTAGACACATCTGGTAGTGAGCAGAGCTCTCACCTTAGTTTCTTAGCCTGTGAGGTAAGAACATTAGACCAAGCAACTTCCTTCATAGTGAAGGAGGTTCAGCAGTGAGCATGTAATCATGAGAGCTACTGTTCCTATCACATATCACATGACCAAGATGCTGCTGATCTGAGAATGATAAAATAACCAATTAAAAACATGGCAGAGGTGCCAGCTTAGAGATGATACCCCACTGGGACAGGACACCATCCTCAAGGACACAGAATCTACTCTAAATTAAGGTAGTCATATTGAGCTTTGCTCCCAGTAGTAAAATGCGTGAGTCTAGGAAACAAGTCCTATAAGTTCTCACTCATCATAATTCCCAGTGACCCACTCATAGAATTTTTCCTTCCTGTTACCACAGCTCTGGGACCTTCAGGTTTAGCAGTCTTAATTCCTAAAGGGGGGATGCTTTCACCAGGGGACACATCAAGGGTCTCATCAAATTTGAGCTATGGCTTTCTCCCTCTCACTTGAGGTTCAGTGTTCCAAAAGACCGCATCAGGTACAGAAATACATCACTTCCAACAGGAACTGTTGGCATTGATCATCAGGAGGAGATAGGGCTGCTGTTTCACAATGGAGCTGAGAGAATACATTTGACACCCAGATAATCCACTTGTATTTCTCTTGTTACTTCCTTGACTGAGGCTCTTCCTCTTCCTAAATCTACGTTATTTCCTTGCCCATAGATGTTGCTTCTGAGAGCATGCCCAATAGATAAATCTATCGCACACTAATCTCTCTCTCTGGGTCTGTTTCCCAGGGACCCTTACCAAAGCCATGCTTTTTCCATCTTTGTAGAATAAGGTTCTCCTTTCTGTTAAGACCCCACAACATATAACCTTTACACAATTTCACAACTTCATGTAGGTCCTACTCCGTTTAGGCTCTATGCCCCTCATGAGCAGAGGACATTTGCTTTGTCAATGTGTTTTCAGCACCTAGTGGAGTGTTTATCAAATGAAAAATGAAGCCATTCTCCTGGCCCCTATCAAATGGCTTAACCCTGGGAGATTGGATTTAGCATGGGATCAGAGGACAGGTAAGTAAACAGAGTGTTTGATGGGCATTAGAGTTAGTGGTAGGATAATTGTGTGGAAGGATTTGCAATTTGCTCCAATTAGAAGGCACTTTGAGGAAAATTATTCTAGCAGATTTTAAATCAGTATAAGTAAAGTAAGGAGTTTGGGTACCCTGAGGTTATGAATAAAATTTTCTGAAATTCCTCTGTTACCTCAGCAAAGTTTCAGTTGTCTTAGATTCTTACTTTGGCCAGTCAGCAATATGGATAAATCTGAGAATTTTGCAGGGGACCGGGGAGAGTGATTACTAGTGTTGATTTCTTAATATTATTTAGAAATATTTATAATTCCTTTAATAAAGTATACAAATAATTTAATAAAATTCTTTGAAATAAATTCATTTTTAAGTCTTAATATTTTATAAAATTGGCTAAATCTTGATATGAATTTAAAAAGGAAGAATTCTATACTCATTGGCAATAGCCATGACTCTCTTTCAACATTATCTCAGTTAACATTATTCAATGATTGATCTTTGATAATGAGAATGACCCAGTAGAGATATATTTTATTTTTAAGTACACTGACCTGCAGCCTGTACTTCTTATGCAAGCCTTTTATTTTCAAATGTGCAATGTGCTGATTTGTTCTCCAAATAGCATTGAAGCAGTCATTACAATTCTGTTTTATTTTCCCTTTTATAGAGAATATTTGCACAGTTAATATACTTAAGCATTTATAAATATATCCAAATTCTCAATTCAGCTTTTAGTTTGTGATGTTGTACTGCCTGAGACACTGTTCGTATGTTTCCTTTGATGACAGAATTTCTTTTTCCATCCTTTTAGAATAAGGTTCTACAAAGATTTCTCATGTGGGTAGTGCTGTTCCTTTGGCATCATAGTTAATGACTGTAATGGCATCTCTATAACAAAAAATTCAAATTGTTACCATAATAATAATGCCACATACTGGGGTACTGAATATGTCACTGTTACACTGATTAGTTTGATATTGTGTAATCTTGGTATGTTTCTAAGTATTTGAACAAATGAAGAAAATGCAGTCGATGTTTAGTTGCTATAGGAAACCAGCAGAGACACGTTTTTTTTAAATATGAAAACCCAGCAATAGCTATTTGCAGAAGATCTGCTAAATTAGGAGTCAGATCTCCTAGATTCTAGTCTAGGTCCTGTCATTAAGAAGATAAATTTAGGCAACTCCTGGGACTTGTTATAAGTGTGATCATGTGTTGCATGCCTCCTGTCGTCTCATTTTATATCCCAAAAAGCTCCTTTAAGATTGCCATGTACCCATTTTACAGAATAGGAAACTAAGTCTCAGAATGTTCAGGGAACTCGCTCAAGTTCACAAAGAATCAAGATTTAAACTGGGGTCTGACTCTGCAGCCCATGTTTTATTATTATTATTATTAATTATTATTATTATTATTATCGTTATTATTATTATTATTATTTTAGAGACAGGGTATCACTCTATTACCCAGGCTGGAGTGCAGTAGCACAATCATAGTTCACTGCAGCCTCAAATTCCTGGGCTCAAGGAATCCTCCCACATCAGCCTCCTAAGTGGCTAAGACTACAGGTGCATCCCAACATGCACATTTAATTCTTAAAAAAAGGTTTTGTAGAGAGAGGATCTCGCTATGTTGCCCAAGCTGGTCTCAAACTCCTGGCCTCAAGCCATCCTCCCACCTCAGCCTCACAAAGCTTTGGGATTACAGGCGTGAACACCATGCCTGGTTCATGCTTTTTCAAACTACAATATTCAGCATTCTCATTTGTCATCCAAAAGTCTGAAATAATAATACTTGCCTTGCCTATTTTATAACTCTCTCTCTCTCTGTCTCTCTCTCTCCCTCTCGGGGTGTGTGTGTGTGTGTGTGTGTGTGTGTGAGAGAGAGAGAGAGGAAGAGAGAGAGAAACAGTAACTGAGACAGAGACACAGAATAAAATGAAGAGATGATTGTGAGAAAAACTGCATAAATTTCAAAGAGCAGTCCGAGTGTCATCATTACTGATTGACTCAGCTTTTGATGAAATGTATGTTTCAGTTATACCATCTGACCCTTTATTATCTAGGCATTTTTGAAAAATGTTTCTCCCATTGAAGGAAAAAAATGATACATGAGAAAGGCAATAAATACTATTTATGAGATATGGAAATTGAGATATTTGTTTGAAGGTCTTATGTGTTGTTACAATGACTGGAGGCTAGGAAGTCATGTTAGGAGAGGTGAGAGAAAGATGTGGGAGGTCAAAAAGATATGAATCAATCTCTTTTAGTTTCTAAAATTGTCCTGAATTTTATTTTGTCATAAACCCTTCACTATCACCCCAAATTTTCTGATGTAGGCCTGGCTTTTAGGTAACTTATAAGATGGTTACTATTAGCACCATTTCATGGATGAGAAAAATCAAGTTTGGTGACAATACGTACTTTGGCTCATGATATAGTTTGCCTCTGTGTCACCACCAAAATTGCGCCTCAAATTTTAATTCCCAAAATCCCCACATGTTGAGGGAGGGACCTGGTGGAAGGTGATTAGATCATGGGGGCAGTTTCCTCCATGCTGTTCTCATGATACTGAATGAATTCTCATGAGATCTGATGGTTTTATAAGGGGCTCTTCCCCCTTGAGTCATTCACTGTCTCTTGCCTGCTGCCATGTAAGACATGCCTCTTCCCCTTCTACTAAGATTGTAGGTTTCCTGAGGCCTCCCCAGCCCTGTGGAACTGTGAGTCAATTAAACCTCTTTTCTTTATAAATCACCCACTCTTGTGTATGTCTTTATAGTAGAGTGAAGATGGAGTAACATAGTAAATTTGTACCGGTAGAATGGGGCACTGCTATAGGGATACCAGAAAATGTGGAAGCAACTTTGGAACTGGGTAATGGGCAGAGGTTGGAACAGTTTGAAGAGCTTTGAAGAAGACAGGAAGATGTGGGAAAGTTTGGAACTTCCTAGAGACTTGTTGAATGGCTTTGACCAAAATGCTGATAATGCTATGGACAATGAAGTCCAGGCCGAAGTGGTCTCAGATGGAGATGAGGAACTTCTTGGGAACTGGAGCAAAGGTTACTCTTTCTATGCTTTAGCAAAGAGACTGGCAGCATGTTGCCTTTGCCCTAGAGATCTGCAAAACTTTGAATTTGAGATAGATTATCTGAAATTGGAATTTATGTTTAAAATGGAAGCAGAGCATAAAAGTTTGGAAAATTTGCAGCCTGACGATGCAATAGAAAAGAAAAACACATTTTATGAAGAGAAGTTCAAGCTTGCTGCAGAAATTTGCATAAAAAATGAGAAGCCAAATGTTAATCACCAAGACAATAGGGAAAATGTCTCCAGGGCATGTCAAAGACCTTCACAGCAGCCCCTCCTATCACAGGCCTAGGAGAGAAAAATGGTTTCATAGGCTGGATCCAGGAATCCCCTGCTGTGTGCAGTCTCAGGACTTAGTGTCCTGTATCCCAGCCACTCCAGCCATGGCTAAAAGGGGCAAGATACAGTTCAGACCATTGCCTCAGAAAGCGCAAGCCCCAAGCCTTGGCAGCTTCCACGTGGGGTTGGTCTTGTGGTTGCGCAGAACACAAGAATTGAGATTTGGGAACCTCCACCTTGATTTCAAAGGATGTATGGAAATGCCTGGATGTCCAGGCAGAGGTGTGCTGCAGGGGTGGAGCACACATGGAGAGCCTCTGCTGGGGCAGAGAGAAAAGGAAATGTGAGGTGTGAGCCCTGAAACTGGGGACACTGCCTAGTGGAGCTGTGAGAAGGGGGCCACTGTCCTCCAGACCCCAGAATGATAGATGCACCAAGAGCTTGCACTATGCACCTGGAAAAGCCACAGATGCTCAATGCCCACTGGTGAAATCAGCTGGGAGGGGAATTGTAACCTGTAAAGCCACAGAGGCAGAACTGGCCAAGACTACGGGAGCCTACCTCTTGCATCAGTGTGCCCTGGACATGAAACATGGAGTCAAAGGAAATCATTTCAGAGCTTTAAGTTAGAACAACTGCCCTACCTGGTTTCAGATTTGCATGGGGCCTATAGCCCCCTTGTTCTGACCAATTTTTCCCATTTGGAATGGGAACATTTACCCAATGCCTGTACCCACATTGTGTCTTGGAAACAACTAACTTGTTTTTTATTGTACAGGCTCATAGGCAGAAGGGACTTGCATTGTCTCAGATGAGACTTTGGACTGTGGACTTATGAGTTAATGCTGAAATGAATTAAGACTTTGGGGGACAGTCGGAAGGCATGATTGGTTTTGAAATGTGAAAAGACATGAGATTTGGGAGGGGCTGGGGCAGAATTATTTGATTTGGCTCTGTGTTCCTACTCAAATCCTACTCAAATCTCATCTTGAATTGTAATCCTTGTAATTCTCATGTGTCGAGGGCAGGACCTAGTGGGAGGTGATTAGATCATGATGGAGGTTTCCCCATGCTGTTTTCATGATACTGAGTGAGTTCTCATGAGATCTGATGGTTTTATAACGGGCTTTTCCCCCTTCACTTTCTCTCTCTCTTCTCTCTCTCTTTCCTGCTGCCGTATAAGACATGCTTCTTCACCTTTTTTCATGATTGTAAGTTTTCTGAGGCTTCCCACCCTGTGGAACTGTGAGTCAATTAAATTTCCTTTGTTTATGAATTACCCAGTCTCAGGTAAGTCTTTATAGCAGTGTGAAAATGGACTAATACAATCCAAAACACACACTAACTGGTATTGCCAAGCTAAGGACGCTGATGTGTGTGATTTCAATGCTTCCCTTCTAAATGCTAGCTTAAATTGCAGGATTGTGTCCCATTATTGAACACATAGTGAGCTCAAGAGGAAGGAAGAGGTTCATTTTGTAATTGTTTGCCGTGGAATTTAGATGTAGAACTGAGGTTTGCTTTTGCTCCCTTGACATTCTCACGTCCTTCACACATGCATTTAGCTTTTCTTCGGAAACAGCATCCCTCCTTTTTTTTTTTTTTTTTTTGTGGAACAAAATCAGTCGTAAATACTGACACACTTCAGGCTGAGCAAAATAAAGCCCTTTGTTAAACAAACATGTATTAGCCGCCTACTGCCTGCCAGGCACTGCAGTATGTATCAGAATCACAAGGATGAGAGAATTATTGAAATATAATGACATTCCTATAATAATGATATGTACTAAGTGCTGTAAGAACACAGTGAACCGAGTGACTACATTGAATTATTTTATTTAAATTTAAATCTAACGCAATTGATTGGTGTCCTATCTTTAAACACCCCTGGCACCATATAATCCTGGTGCTTTTTTTTTTTTAGCCAACAACTGACTTGTTCAAAATCCTCAGTTTTGCATGTGTATATAAATAAAAGAATAAGCAACTACTTCCAGTATTTTACAATCCTAATGAATAATACACACTTTCTAATTATAAGGCTCAAAAAGCTAACCAAAATGTAAAGCACTTTTGCTTTTTGGCTGGTTCATATCAAACTGGTATCAAGGGAAGAACACTCAATTGGCTCTTGATGACTTCACAGGAATTTCTGGGCGGGTGATAGTTGCACCAATCATGATTAAACAGAGCCCCATGTGAGGCAGTTATACTACGCAAATTAAATACACCCACTGTGTGACTAATTTTGGACTTGAGCACAGATTGATGACCACATTTAAATGATTGCTATTAGTGAGCAGTACATAAGTTTTTTGCCGGCTTGCTTGACTTTATAGCTTTTCACAAACATGACAGTGATTTATGTAATTCATAATATTATAAAACCTTCATAACTATGGATTGTTGGTAAAAATCTGAATCAAAAGTGAAGCTGATAAATAATAATAATACAGATGGCATGAATTAATTATGACTTACTAAATGTAATTTGGTAGGAAAAATAGTTCCAATGCAGGGCCCAGGGTAGAAGTCAACATTATAAAAGGTGATTTGAAGGTTGGATACCAAGGGATTGGCTCCTTTGCAATCCCCAATTTTCCTTCTGTTTGTCTATCCTATTTTTTTAACCAACTCTGTACTTCATTTAATAGTCGTCTGAAGCTTTATATGTAACAGGGGAAATTAATTGGTTCCTTTTGTTCTGAGTCATTACTGTAGTGTATGTTTCTGTGAACTAACTAAAGGTTTTCTTCTTCATCACCAAAACATAGGTATGCAGACAACATAGCTTGATGAGTAATTGATATATTCTTTACAGAAGCCAACGTGAATGTTCAATGACTATTTTTAATAATGACATTTTATTGTCTTATTCAAAAGTACCATAGTCATACTAATTCTGATTACTTCCTGGGTATCTGATTCTGATATAGATTTTTTCAAAGGTCTTAGTCCTGCCAGGATTTTCTCATAGGCCCAATGTCAAGTGTTCTTATTTGTAGTGTTTTAATATTAACAATTTGTATGCATATATTATTGTGTTTCTTTGAAGGACAGCCAAATCTACTATCCTATCATAGTTATTTGTGCTAGCCATATTGCTTTGATACATATCCCGTTTTAAAAACTTACTGTGTACCAATATTTAAGAGGAATTTTTCAAATAAAAAATCAAAGTACATTATGACATGGCTATAAGACAGCACTGAGACTGCCACATTTTTTTTGTGTGGTAAAGTGCACAAATTTTCCCTTTAAAATATTTTAACATGTAGAATTCAGTGGCATTTGGAACATTACATTCTAAATGTCTTTGGGAAGCCACTACAGCCCGAGGGCCAAAACAAAGTTTTCTCAGGCCACCAACAGACCTATAAAAATACACAACCCCAAATGTTTTTGGAACAGTGTTCTTACTGGCCGCTGTGGCACAAATCAGGTACTCCAAAAATGTGAGATGCTTATTCCCATAGTTAAGGTGAGGGTAAGGAATGGGGAATGGTAGCTGTTTTGTGCAGGCTGCCTCCTTGCACATGATCAGCATCCTTTCCCTTCATCAAGCACCTCCCTTCCTGCTACATTTCCAGTTAGGTCTCAGAATTATAAAATAGATGCTTCTAATAGTTTTGGTTTTGGGGTTGTTTGTTTTGTTTGTTTGTTTGTTTGTTTTTTCAGTTTAAGGGTTGTTTCAGTGGAGGGATTGACCTCTAGGGGTTCCTACTTCACCATTTTGTGTGATGTCCTCCTCTGAGAGTTTTGCAAGTTTTAGTTTAAATATGTGATTGCTAGTTCAATCACTCCAGGTGATGGAGATAGTAAAGACGTTATAATTTGTAGGACAAATAAATATCTTTTTGGATTTCATAGAGGATTTTACCAGTAAAGTGGACAACTTATTCTAAGGGGAAGTTTAATAACAGTAGTGGTAGTGACCTTTTTTTTTTTTTTTTTACGTGGGAGCTTCTAGCCAATGAGAGAACATGTGAATAATGGTAAGGGCATATTCATGAGCCATGAGATGTAGGGAGTCGAACAAAATCTAATTGCCAATGGAGAAAGTCACTGGAAATGACTTTCTATGTTGTCCCACCTTTACAGTTTTGCCAGGATTATGGTTTTGGAAGATGTGGCAAGAGAATACCGTTTGTTTGAGGTAAGGGGGGTAGTTTCACTTCCAAGGTCAGCATAGAAGTTGATTTTGTTATTCTTGCTCATGATGTGTAATCTTGCAAAGGTCATAGAATACATTTCAGGCAAGGAACTGAGGAGAGACCAAGTGGATGTCTAGGTGTCTCCAAAGCTCATCAGGTGGATAAAACAGACATTTCTCACTTCCTTCATTCGAGGATGTGGTGGTAAGCAGAATAGCTTTTAATATCTTGTCTGATGGTGGTGGGATTGGGACGGATTTATAAACTGCTAGCTTGGCGTATTTATAAACTAATGAGTTTCCCTTTGCCTCAGATGTTTTATTGCACATGTGAGCTTCAATTTTGAATAAGATCACCCCTTGTGGTAATAAAGCCTCTAGGAGGTCAGCTGCCTGCTTCTCATTTTTAATTGGTGTTTCAGGTGCAGTCATAAATCCTTTGCAGTCAGGAGAGGGTTTTGGACTGCATGAGATACGTATCAAATTCATATACTACTCCAAAAGCACACGCACAACCTACATAGGTGACAACTCTTCTATCCTGAGCTAAAGTGCGAGCTCTTGAGAAGGTTTGAGATCCACTATCTGAGCTAACTTTACATCAGTAGAGGCTCATATTCTACAGGACTGTGAAAATCTGTAATGACATGTCTCACCTGGAAACCTCTTTCTGAGTAGCAGATGTGTGAACTGTCAACAAAGTGGGTGAAATCTGGATGTAGAATAGAAAATTCAGCAAGATCAGAACAGGGGAAAGCTGAAGTTTGAGCAGCTGCAGTACAGTCAAGGGATTTAGACTTTGATAGCAGTAGACAGTAATATGAAAAGGACAAAGCAAAAGGATCTCATATAATATAAGGTGAGAGGTTTACAAATGTTGTTTTTTCTTCAGTCAGGAGAGGGGTTTGGACTGCATGAGATACATAAATATTCAAAGTACGATCCAGCACAAGATCAGTTCTTGCTTGAACCAATTTTGGTGCTGCTATGACTGCTAATAAGTAGGGCATGAAGGTTTGAGCTAAAAGGCCTGCTGGGAAGCTAAAATATTCAATAGGTCTCTGGTTCCTGTTATGCTTCTGAGATAGGATGCCTAAAGCATATCCTTCTCTATCAGAGATGAATAGCAAGAATGGCAATAAACAATTTTAGATCCCCAAGGTGGGGACAGAGGAAAGGGAAATTTCTGAAAATGCAGATGCTATTGTAGAGGATAAGTCCCATGGTAGCGATTTAAACACTGTTTCCTTAGTCATACTATATGAAGGTTATAGCAGAAAAATTAATAATCCACACCTCATAATGGCCAACCAATCCTGCAAAGCCCCTAAGTTGTCAGTTCTTTTCAGATAAAAGTTAATTGAAGAAGCTTTTGGTGTACTCTGGGGCAAAGATTTTCCCTCAAGGGAGATGTCAGGTCTTTGACAATGAACCTGAGGTTAACAAAATTGTATTTTGTTTCTGAAAATCTTATGTTCCTTTTGAGACAGTGTTTCAAATAGATATTGGCTATCTATAAATTATAGAATAAGAATTATATGATCTGGCAATTTCACTTCTGGGTATATTTTCAAAAGAACTGAAAGCAAACATCTTAAAGAGATATTTGTACACCCATGTTTAGAGCAGCACTATTCAGAATAGATAAAGTGTGGAAGCAACCCAAGGGTCCATTGACAGGTTAATAGATAACCAAATTAGAGGAAACATTAAGACTGCAGTTTTTCAAATTACTGTTCTTTGGACAATCTTTCTCTCAATGTCCCTTTTCCTTGTAACATTTATAGATGTATGAGTCTATGGGAGAATTTAGGGAAGTTAAAGGTGGCTCAAAGGCCTTGAGATAATTTCCCTGGAGTTGTTTTAGTTAGAGGGTGAATACTTTATTTTGTGTAGATTTAGCTTCGCCAGCCTGTGCTTCTTCACGTTATTGTGTTAAAAACATGGATCTCAGAGAGAAGGTAATTTTGACAATTACTGTAATGTTATCTTAAAAAAGTTTCCCAGTGCCATTTATTGCATGTATTTCTGCACTGAATTAAAACACTTCATTGACTTTCTGTATTAAATTCAAATATATATATCTGGGATTTTTGTATTTATTCATCTCTGGAATAAATACAAAATTCTGGAGCATGCTGCTTCACAAATGCCACGTCATTGTAACATTTTTTAAAAAATTGTTTACTTCCATAGGTTTTTGGGGAACAGGTGGTGTTTGGTTACATGAGTAAGTTCTTTAGTAGTGATTTGTGAGATTTTGGTGCACCCATCACCCAAGCAGTATACACTGAACCCAAATTGTGGTATTTTATCCCTCACTCCCCTCCCACCGTTTCTCCCGAGTCCCCAAAATTTATTGTATCATTCTTATGCCTTTGCATCCCCATAGCTTAGCTCCCATTTATGAGTGAGAACATACGATGTCTGCTTTTCCATTCCTTAGTTACTTCGCTTAGAATAATCATCTGCAGTTCCATCCAGGTTGCTGCCAATGCCATTAATTCATGTCTTTTTATGTGCTGAGTAGTATTCCATCATATAGATATATATGTAAATGATATATATATATACTGTATATGTATACTATATATATATGCTATATATGTATACTATATATATATATATATGCTATATATGTATATGACCACAGTTTCTTTATCTACTCGTTGATTGATAGGTATTTGGGCTGGTTCCATATTTTAGCAACTGTAAATAGTGCTGCAGTAACATGGGTGTGCAAATATCATTTTCATATAAGGACTTCTTTTCCTCTGGGTACATAGCCAGTAGTGGGATTGCTGGATCAAATGGTAATTCTAGTTTTAGTTCTTTAAGGAATCTCCATACTGTTTTCCATAGTGGTTGTACTAGTGTACATTCCCACCAGCAGTGTAGAAGTGTTCCCTTTTCACTGCATCCATGCCAACATCTATTATTTTTTGCATTTTTTTGCTTATGGCCATTCTTGCGGGAGTAAGGTGGTATTACATTGTGGTTTTGACTTGCATTTCTCTGATCATTAGTGATGTTGAGCATTTTAAAAATATTTTTGTTGGCCATTTGTATATCTTCTTTTGAGAATTGTCCATTTATGTCCTTAGCACACTTTTTGATGGGATTGTTTGTTTCTTTCTTGCTAATTTGAGTTCCTTGTAGATTCTGGATATTATTCATTTTTTGGATGTGTAGATTGTGAACCACTCTGTGGGTTATCTGTTTACTCTGATGACTGTTTCTTTTGTTGTGCAGAAGCTCTTTAACTAAGTCTCACCTATTTATCTTCATTTTGTTGCATCTGGTTTTGGGTTCTTGGTCATGAAGTCTTTGCCTAAGCTGATGTCTAGAAGGGTTTTTTTCGATGTTATCTTCTAGGATTTTTATAGTTTCAGGTCTTAGATTTAGGTCCTTGATCCATCTTGAGTTGATTTTTGTATAAGGTGAGAGATGAGGATCCAGTTTCATTCTCCTACATGTGGCTTGCCAATTATCCCAGCACCATTTGTTGAATAGGGCGTCCTTTCTCCACTTTATGTCTTTGTTTACTTTGGCTGGCTGTAAGTATTTGGGCTTATTTCTGGGTTCTCTATTCTGTTCCATTGGTCTATGTGCCTATTTTTATACCAATACTATACTGTTTTGGTGAATATGGCCTTATAGTATAATTGGAGGTCAGGTAATGTGACGTCTTCAGGTTTGTTCTTCTTGCTTAGTCTTGCTTTGGCTATGTGGGCAATTTTTTGGTTCCATATGAATTATAGGATTGTTTTTTCTAGTTCTGTGAAGAATGATGGTGGTATTTTGATGAGAATTGTGTTGAATTTATAGATTGCTTTTGGCAGTATGGTCATTTTCACAATATTGAGTCTACCAATCCATGAGCATGGGATTTGTTTGCATTTGTTTGTGTCATCTGTGATTTCTTTCAGCCATGTTTTGTAGTTTTCCTTTTAGAGGTCTTTTACTTCCTTGGTTAGGTATATTCCTAAGTATTTTATTTATTTTTTTTGCAGCTATTGTGAAAGGAGTTGAGTTCTTGATTTGATTCTCAACTTGGCAGCTGTTGGTGTATAGCAGAGCTATTGATTTGTGTACATTAATTTTGTATCCTGAACTTTGCTGAATTCATTTATCAGTTTAAAGAGCTTTTTGGAGGAGTCTTTAGGGTTTTCTAACTATATGATCATGTCATCAGAAAACAGCAACAGTTTGATTTCCTTGTTACCAATTTGGATGCCCTTTATTTCTTTCTCTTGTCTAATTGCTCTGGCTAGGACTTCCAGTACTATGTTGAAGAGGAGTGGTGAGAGTAGGCATCCTTGTCTTGTTCCGATTCTCAGATGGAAAGATTTCAACTTTTCCCCATTCAGTATTATGTTGGGTGTGGGTTTATCATAGATGGCTTTTATTACATTGAGGTATGTCCCTTGTATGCTGATTTTACACAGGGCTTCAATCATAAAGGGATGCTTAATTTTGTCAAATGTTTTTTTCTGTGTCTATGAGATGATTGTGTGATTTTTGTTTTTAATTCTGTTTATGTGGTATATCACATTTATTGACTTGTGTATGTTAAACCATCCCTCCATCCCTGGTATGAAACCCACTTGACCATGGTGGATTATTATTTTTTTTTTTGATACACTTTTGGATTTGGTTACCCAGTATTTTGTTAAGGATTTTTGCATCTATGTTCATCAGAGATATTGGTCTGTAGTTTTCTTTTTTGTTATGTCATTTCCATGGTTTTTGTGTTAGGGTGATACTGGCTTCATACAATGATTTAGAGAGGAGGCCCTGTTTCTCTATCTTGTGGAGTAGTGTCAGAGGATTAGTACCAATTCTTCGATGAATGTCTGATAGAATTCAGATGTAAATTCATCTGGTCCTGGACTTTTTTTTGGTTGCTAATTTTTAAATTACCATTTCAATCTTGCTGCTTGTTATTTGTCTGTTCAGGGTTTCTAATTTTTCCTGATTTAAGCTAGGAGGATTGTATATTTTCAGGAATGTATTCATCTCCCTTAGGCTTTCCAGTTTATGTGCATAAAGGTGTTCATAGTAGCCTTGAATGATCTTTTGTATTTCTGTGGGGTTGGTTGTAATATGTCCTATTCTGTTTCTAATTGAGCTTATTGTGGATCTTCTCTCTTCTTTTCTTGGTTAATCTCACTAACGGTCTGTCAGTTTTATTTATCTTTTCAAAGAATCAGCATTTTGTTTCATTTATCTTTAGTATTTTTGTTTGTTTGTTTGTTTGTTTCAATTTCATTTAATTCTGCTCTGATCTTGGTTATTTCTTTTCTTCTGCTGGGTTTAGGTTTGGTTTGTTCTTTTTTCTCTAGTTCCTTGAGGTGTGACCTTAGATTGTCTATTTGTGCCCTTTTAGACTTTTTGATATAGGCATTTAAGGCTGATGAATTGAATGTAAATTCTGCTTTTGTTGGGTAGAATGTTCTGTAAATATCTGTTAAGTCCATTTGTTCTAGGGTATAGTTTAAATTCATTGTTTCTTTGTTGACTTTCTGTCTTAATGACCTGTCTAGTGCTGTCAGTGGTGTATTGAAGTCCCCCACTATTATTGTGTTGCTGTCTATTTCATTTCTTAGGTGTAGCAGTAATTTTTTTTTTGTAAATTTGGGAGCTCCAGTGTTAGGTTCATATTTATTTAGGATTGTGATATTTTCCTGTTGGACAAGGCCTTTTATCATTATGTAACATTCTTCTTTGTCTTTTTTAACTGCTGTTGCTTTAAAGTTTGTTTTATCTGATATAAAAATAGCTACATCTGCTGCTCTTGGTGTCCATTTGCATGGAAATACTTGGTTGGTAAATTCTTATCCATTCTGCACTTCTGTGTTTTTTAAGTGGAGCACTTAAGCCATTTACATTCAATGTTATTATTGAGATTTGAGGTACTATTCTATTCATCATACTATTTGTTGCTAGAATACCTTGGTTTTATTTATTTATTTATTGTATTTTTGTTTTATAGTTGCTGTGAGATTCATCCTTTAAATGGGTTCTATTTTAATGTGTTTCCAGGATTTGTTTCAAGATTTATAGTTCCTTTTAGCAGTTCTTGTAGTGCTGGCTTGGTAGTGGTGAATTATCTCAGCATTTGTTTGTCTGAAAAAGACTGTATCTTTCCTTTATTTGTGAAGCTTAGTTTTGCTGAATACGAAATTCTTGGCTGATAATTGTTTTGTTTAATGAGGCTGAAGATAGGGTCCCAATCCCTTCTAGCTTGTAGGGTTTCTGCTGAGAAATCTGCTGTTAATCTAATAGGTTTACCTGGTGTTTCTGCCTCACAGCTCTTAAGATTTTTTTTTTTTCATCTTAACTTTAGATGATCTGATGCTGTGTGCTTAGTTGATGATCTTTTTGTGATGAATTTTCCAGGTGTTCTTTGAGCTTCTCTTATTTGGATGTCTTGATTTCTGGCAAGGCCAGGAAAGTTTTCCTTGATTATTCCCCGAAATATGTTTTCCAAACTTTTACATTTCTCTTCTTCCTCAGGAATGCCAATTATTCTTAGATTTGGTCATTTAACATAATCCCAATCTTCTTGGAGGGTTTGTTTATTCTTTTTATCTTTCTCTTTGTTGGATTGAATTATTTCAAAAACCTTGTCTTTGAGCTCTGAAGTTCTTTCTTCTCCTTGTTTGGTTCTCTTGCTGGGGCTTCCAGTATATTTTGTATTTCTCTAAGTGTGTCCTTTATTTTGTGAAGTTGTGATTGCCTTTATTTATGCTATCTATTCACTGAAGATTTCTCCCTTCACATCTTGTGTCTTTTATCTTATTTCCTTAAGTTGGACTTCACCTTCTCTGGTGCCTCCTTGATTAGTTTAATAATCGGCATTCTGAATTCTTTTCTGGCAATTCAGGGATTTCTTTTTGGTTTGGGTCCATTGCTGGTGAGCTAGTGTGATATTTTGGAGGTGCTAAAGAACCTTGCTTTGTTATATTACTAGAATTGCTTTTCTGCTTCCTTCTCATTTGGATAGCCTATGTCAGAGGGAAGATCTGAGGCTCAATGCTGCTGTTCAGATTCTTTTGTCCTATGGGGTGCTCTCTTATGTAACACTGTCTCCCTTTTCCTAGGGGTGTGGATTCCCGAGAGCCATACTGTAGTGATTGATATTTCTCTTCTGAATCTAGCCACCCAGCAGGGCTACCAGGCTCTGGGCTGGTACTGGGGAGTGTCTGCACAGAGTCCTGTGATGTGAACCATCTTTGAGCCTCTCAGCCGTGGATACCAGCACAGTATTTGGGCTGTCTCCCAGGTCCTGCAGGAGCAATCTGTTTCCTTCAAAGGGTCTGTGGATTCTCTTGGCTCCTGGTATATTCCCGCAGTAGTTCTTGGAGCAAATGTTCATGATGAGAGTTGACATTAACATTAGTATGACGTTTTTGAAATAGTTTCTCTGAGTTTAGCATAGAGTCCATTAACAAAACTCATAAATAAAGCAGGTTCTATACTGCTTATCTAGGGTTAGAACCTGAATAATTGTTCCAGATGTTTCCTAAGTGATGTTTATAGTTAGAAAAAGATTCATCTCCTTGCTGTCTGCATTCTCGAATCTTTGTCCGGTCGATAATTGGTGAAAACGCCATGGGAATAAAATCTCATTGAAGGGAGGAGGCAATTAAAGTCCTACAGCTCCCTGTCTTTGTATGCTGATGATCAGAGACATAAGACCAAAGTCACGAGTACGTCTAAGGAACTGGAGGACTGGCAAAGTGAGGTTAGGTTTGGGGTGAGTGGAATTTAGAGTTGGGGGCAAAGGTGACAGAATGGTTTTGGAGAAGTTGAGGAATAATGAGAGGATAAAGAAGAAAATCAAAGCGATGCTGACATTGGAGTAGGTGAAGGAATGACATTTGAGAAGAACAGATAATCTTTGAGAGACTAAATAGCCTCAGATAAGGTAAACTGAGATTGCTGAATGGCTCGATTAAATTTAAACTGAGAAAGTTAGTTTTCAGTTTCCTCACCAAAAGGAAGAAGCAAGTAATTTGTTTACAGGGAATTTTGGATGCACAGGATTCAAGGTCCCCCAGAGATAAACCTTAGAGAAGTCATTGTAGTTCCAAACTGCACTTAATGAAATCATATCATTTTTGTAGATATGGAGTCAAATTGCTGCTATATTAGCAGTGCATATAGTCACTGGGAAAAGAGGATGGAGAGCACTCAATAGAGTGAGAATTACCTATAGATTTAGCAGCCAATTACCCTAAGGAAAGACCTTACAGGATCTGAGGAGTCCCATTTGATTATTTCTTTATTCAGTCCTTGCCTGAGGAGCCAAGGAGATTTCTTCACAGAATCCTTAACAGTGGAGCTGAGGAAGAACAGAAGACACATCACACAAGGGCCAAAGAAAAGTCTATTTGCGCAAATAATAAAAGTACTTCTTACTTTGCTTCAACACATAAGACATCTGGAGCACTGGTTCTAGAGTTGTACTCACTGAAGGATCCCCAAATTGATGAACAGGAGAGGAGTTAGAAGGACTCATAAAGCACTCTTATCTGAGCAGAAGCAGCAGGTTCTGTAGGTGAGTTCAATCTCAGTCTGAGTTGTTGTACCAGAAACTCTCAAATGCAAAAAAAAAAAAAAAGTCTGGAGATACGTTAACAAAAGCACAGTCAATACAAGCAAAAAATAGAGAAATGAGGCTACATAAAAATGTGCCAAACACAACAATGAATAGAATAAAAAGGCAGCCTATGGAGCAAGAGAAAATATTTGCAAACCATGTATCTGATAAGAAGATAATATGAAGAATGTATAAATAACTCCTAAAACTCAACAACAACAACAAAAACAGCCCAATTAAAAAATGGACAAAGGACAAATCATCCCATTACAAAGTGGGGAAAGGATATGAATAGACATTTCTCTAGAGAAGGCCATATAAGACTATTGAAAAGAGAAGTAGTCTCACAGAGAACTTTGACTTCCTTAAGCTTAACAATGAGGGTGGTTAAGTTTTTTCTCCCTTAGGCAGCCAGTTTGGGGGACATAACAGTACTAGGCATTCGTAATTGAGAGGGTTCATGGTCCTATACATGGCCCACTAGATGGACCTTACTGCTGGAAATTGAATCAAGGTATTGGGGCAAATGGTAATGGAATTGCACATTACACAATTTATCTATACCAACAATGCTCTTAATAGCTGGGGCCATAACAATGGAGGTTTATGGGGCCAGAAGACACTCTCCCACCTGGGCATTGTCAAGGATCCCAGTAGTGGTAGCCTTAGATCCTAAATCAGCATCAGTTGTTTCCACTTTATTGTTATGCCAGGGGTTGCAGGAATCATAGTTACCTGTGCATAGGTATCCAAAAGACCCAAGAGGTGCAATTTTACCCTCCCTCCCCATTATCCTGATTTCAATATAGGGCATTTGTCCCATCCTCTCCCCAGAGACAGAGAAGTCTCACCCTATTGAGTGATCTGGGTAAAGGTTGGCAAATCTCTTTATCTTCAGACTTAGTGGAGGGGTCAAGGTGATAGCACTTGTATCAGTCACAGAGGCTGTCATTGTCGGGACCCTAATGGAGGTACCCTTAAGGCCCCCTGCCATGGTCCAATATCAAGCAATCAGTTTTCTTCTGGGATAGGAGAGTGGAGAGCCGAGGAAGACACATGTCCAGGATAGGCAGCTGTTTCTGGGCTGGGACCCCAAGTGGGGGTTCAAGGTAGGGTGGTTAGGGCACATTTCAGACTTCTATGGGGCAAGTAGTGCCTGGAAAGCCATGGGCAGGCAACATGGACACCCTGCCCCACCGGGCACTGCACAGCAGTGGTGTTGAGGTAGGAATCCCAGTCCTCTCTCTCTCTTTCTGCTGGTCAATCTTTGAGGGAGGAGGCACCAGGAGCTGCATTGCTACCATATCCCAAAGCCAGAGTCAGTGTAGCATGGGCTCCTCTGGCCACCAAACAACATGCAGGTGGCACCACTTCTACTGATGCTCATGCTCTACTAAATTGGCAGTGGCTACTGCCAAGACACCTGAAGGAAAAGCTGTGCAGTAACGTGCACCACATGGCATAACTCCCTTAATAAGTTTAATAATTATATCTCCTTTATCATGGAGGTGAACTAACCAACTCTCGAATATCTCTGAAAAGCCACTGGGAGAAGTGAGCCTTGAGGGAGATATATGTATATGTGTGTGTGTATATATATATATATATATATTTTTTTTTTCACTGAATCTCAACAGTTTGTTGTGACAGAAGGTGTTTATTAGCACCAGGGACCTACTTAGAGCACAAAATACTTATTTGGTGCAGCTCAGCTCAAGTGGCCTCTGGCAGTCTCTGGTCCTATTGCCAGAGGACGATGAGCAGTTGCTAAGAAACTACTTCCCTAGTTCTTTAGGGACCCTTTTTTATATTGCTGATTTGACCCCATGCACTGGGGTGAGCTCGTCCAGGTAGTCAGAAGCAAAAAAGAAGGACCAGTGTTCCCCCTCAGAACTAAAAAGTTTCTGTAAACGATCCATCAAACTCCTCGAGACCCACTGGTGAAGTGCCTCCAGCTCTTGGAGATATTTCTTTAGCACTTACCAAGATTGCCTCATGGAACCCTCAGACATTTTTGTATTTCAGAACAGCATTGTGCTCAATTGACCACATGTGCTGTACCTATTTGTCAACCTGCCTGGTGTCAAGGTAGTCAGTGGTAATCTAGGACAAGAAGCAAAACTGAAAATAGCAAAATCAATCCTTTATTCATGTATTAGGACAGTACAGGAAAAAGACAAAAGAAATAGGTGTCAGCTCCCCAGTATTTCATTTTCACCCACAGAATGGCACTGGATGAGAATTAGATGACATGCAGTGCAAGAAGGGGTAATCACTCATTCCTCAGGAGCCCTGAACACAGAGCTTTTTTTTTTTTCTTTCTGAAGGTTGCTGGGGGCAACGAGAGGGGGTAGGGTAGGAATGGGAGAGTACTGATCCAGAATGGGGACAAAGTGCCTGATATAGTTGGGCTCTGTCTCCACCCAAATCTCACCTTGAATTGTAATCATCCCCAGATGTCAAGGGCGGGACCAGGTGGAGGTAATTGGATTATGGGGGAGGTTTCTCCCATGCTGTTCTCATGATTGTGAGTGAGTTCTCACGAGATCTGATGGTTTTATAAACATCTGGTATTTCCCCTGCAGGCACGCATTTGTTCTCTCCTGCCACCCTGTTAAGTGGTGCCTTCTGCCATGATTGTAAGTTTCCTTAGGCCTCACCAGCCATGCGGAACTGTGAGTCAATTAAACCTCTTTCCTTTATAAATTACCCAGTCTCAGGTATTTCTTCATAGCAGTGTGAGAATGGACTAATACAGTGCCTCAGTCAAGGCTCCTCAACAAAGATGTCTCATTGGAGGCACCTGGGGAGTGCCTTAGCTGAAGCACCTGATAAGGGGACATCTGAATGAAAGCTCCGGGGCTGAAAATGCAGATATGTGTATGAGGATGGCTGTACCAGTGAGGGGCTGAGTTCCTGACTGCAATTCCCTCCAGGAAGTTGCTGTTTTATTCTGTTGTGGCTACTACAACAAAGTACCATAGACTGAGTGGCTTATAAGAAATAGAAATGTATTTGTCACAATTCTGGAGGCTGGAAACTCCAAGATGAAGGTAGATAATGTCTAGTGATGCCACAAATTGTGATTCATAGTGGTACCATTTAGCTTTGTCCTCACATTGTGGGAGGGATGAGGGATCACTCTAGGGCCTCTTTTTATAAGGGTGATAATCCCAATAATTAGGGCTCCACCTGCATGACCTAACCACCTCTCAAAAGTCCCACCTCTAAAAACTATCACTTAGGGGTTAGAGTTTCAACATATGAGTTTTAGGGGGACAGAAACATTCAGACTATAGTCTTTGCAATGTAATGACCGTGCCCCAAGTCTGGTGTGGGGAGGATAGCTTTACCTCATGAGGCCTGCCAGGTAAAGGCTTGTAATTGCTTGTGATTGGGCTAGAAAGATCACGTGAAGATTTTGGCCTAGAGCTAGACTCCTCAACACTGACAAATAGAAATAATTTATTATTTTTTCAAAAATTTATTTTTATTCTACATGTGTAAGGTGTACAACGTGATGTTTTGATATAGATATACACAGTGAAATGATTACTACAGTCAAACAAATTAATATATCTGTAATTACCATAATTACCTTTTTTTGTGTGGCAAGAGTATCTAAAATCTAATCTCTTAGCAAATTTTCAGTACACAATAAAATATTATTAACAATAGTCCTCATGCTACACGTTACATCCCTTGACTTATTTGTCCTACCTAATGGCAAATTTTTAGCCTTTTACCTAATTATCTCAATCTGTTCTTCCTCCTTGACCCTGGTAATCACATTCTACTCTCTGTTTCTGTTTATTTAACTTTTTAAAGAAATATTCTGTATATAAGTGTGATCATGTGCTGTCTGCCTTTCTGTGTCTGATTTGTTTCACTTAGCATAATGTCCTCGAGATTTGTTCATGCTGTCACAAATGGCAGGATCTTCTTTTTTAGGTGTGAATAATATTCCATCGTATACCACAATTTCTTTATCCATTCATCTGTCAACTGACAGTTAGGTTGTTTTTGTATCTTTGCTACCATGAATCATGCTGAAGTGAACATGAGAATGTGGATATCTCTATAAGGTGCTGATTTCATTTCTTTTGAGTGTATGCCCAGAAAACAGACTGATCGGTCATATAGTAGTTCTATTTTTATTTTTTGTGGGATTCTCTTACTCTTTTCCATATAGTTGTACCAATTTAAATTTCCACTAACACTGTACAAGTATTCCCCTTTCTCCATATTTTTGTCAACAATTATTATCTTTTGTCCTTTTTATAGTAGTCATTCTAACAAGTGTGGGGTGAAATCTCATTGTGGTTTTAATTTGCATTTCCCTGATGATCAGTGATGCTGAGCACTTTTTCATAAACCTGTTGGTCATTTCTATGTCTTCTTTGGAAAAATGTCTACTTAGGTCCTTTGCCCATTTTTAATTGGGGTATTTGCTTTTTTGCTATTCAGTTGTATGAGTTCCTTATATATTTTAGGTATTAACCTTATATCAAACATATGGCTTGCAAGTATTTTCTTCCAATAGTAGTCTGCTTTTCTTGTTTTGTTGTTTGTTTTATTTTATGTGCAGAAAACTTTAAGTCTGATGTAGTTCCACTTACCCAGAGAAGTACAAATTCAAAGCAATCCCTACCAAAATTGCAATGACATTTTTCACAGAAATAGAAAACAAAATGTAACATTCATATGGAAACACAAAAGACACCAAATAGCCAAAACAATATTAAGAAAGAAAAACAAAGTTGGAAGCATTACATTTCCTGATTTCAAGTTATATTACAAAGCTATAGTAATCAAAATAGTATAATACTGGCATAAAAATAGGAACATAGACCAGTGAAAGAGAAAACAGAGCCCAGAAATAAACCCCAGCATATACTGTCAACTAATCTTTGACAAGCCCACCAAGATGACACAATGGAAAAAAGATAGTCTCTTCGATAAATCTTGTTGGGAAAATTGTCTATCTACATGCCGAAGAATGACAATAAATTCTTATCTTACATCACACACAAAAATCAACTCAAAATGTATTAACAACCTAAATGTAAAAATCTAAAACTGCAAAACTCTTAGAAGAAAACATAGGGGAAAAATTTCTTAATATTAACCTTCACAATAATTTTTTAGATATCACACTGAAAGTTCGGGCTTAATAAAAGGCAAAAAAAAAAAAAAAAAAAAAAAAAACCCAGCACAGCAATTTAGTTGTATTCATGCTCTTTCTGAAACTTTCAGGTGGTATACATAGGAATTGGGTGTTATAATGTGATTTACCACTTAGACTTGGCTACAAATGATTATCTAAAATTTACAGGCTAACTTTTATAGCAGATAGCTACATGATTTAATAGGAGTTGTTTTACCATTAATATTAAGTGCTCCTAGTAGTGACTAGAATTTAATCATCATGCTATATTGCTTTGATTTTTGGCATGCTGGGAAATATATCTGTCTATTGGTCAAATTTTGTTGGAAATAACTTAAGAGCTTGTCAGTTCTCCTGTGTGTGCTGTGAGCTTGCATTTAAAATTGCTTGATATTAGTGTAATATCAGTGGAAGTTTGGACATTTGTTTTGGTATACAGTAATATTATAATCATATTTGCTGTATTCGTACTTGATTTGAAGTCACTTTTAAAAGGGGGAAAACAAAAGTAGAGATTATTTCTATTTGTTTATTTTTAATTACTGTCTTTTTTCTGACATTTCATATCCCAGTGTGTATAAATACAAAATATTACCCCATTAGAAAAAGTGATACGTCTTATATACATTTTATTCTTACTGTTGGCTATTACACATGACTCGTCCTTATATATTTTTTACTCCAATTTCACGAGAGATCGAAGCATGGAAGATTATTGTGACCTAAGGATTTTTGGTTTAATAAACGCTCATGTACTGAATCATAGAATTATGGTGCTGGGAGAAACCTGAGAGTATATTTTCATACACTCAAGGACTGGGTTTGGATCCTAGATCTACCATAGTTTTGTGGTTTGAGGCAGGTTTTCTAACCTGTGTCTTAGTGGCCTCATCTATAAAATCAAAACATTGTACCAGTCCTATTTACTTCCCTGAGTTCTAAGTAGCCTTATAGCCAATAACACAATTTGAAAAGAAAAATCAGCTAACAAAAATTCAGTGTAATTTATCTTTAACATGAGGAATGTTTAATTAGATTGCACAAGGCCACAGTGTAGTTCAGCGGTAAAGCAAGAATGAAAATCTAGGTCTTTTGATTCCTCCTATGCAAGTGTTAGTGAAGCATTGTTGGGGTTCCTTGTTTGTAGGTAAATCCCAGAAAAAGAACAAGATTGTGTTGGTAAAGTCTGATACAGCAGTCTTATAAATATAGTGTTTATCAGAGATGGGAGTGTTACCCTCTGGGAGATCACACGCAAGGAGGAAAGAGGTTTCAGAGACATAGTTCTAAAGAAATAACAAGTTATTCCAATTAAAACTCAAGGACCATTAATTTTGAAGGCAAGATATTTGCAGAGAAATAAATCCTACAAGTAAAAATGTTTAAATGCAAGTTTATCAAGTGACTTAAGCTGACTTGACAATTAAGCAACTGATAGTTTCTTTCAGTAAATATTCAGGTAGACCCTGATAATCAGAGAGTGTGAGTTATACATTTCCCTCACTATATCCCCCACCCTGTCCTGTCACAGCCTCCTTAGCAAGTGATATGTTATGAAAAGAAGTGTTTGACAAAATTCTGACAAGCGTACAAACTTTCATAAACTGGCAGGCCAAAATAAAACTACATAAGCTATGTTACGTAGCTCAGAGAAAGCCTGTTCTCTGACTTTAGACACTCTGCTTGCTCTTTGTACTGTGGATATCATTTACTGGTGGATGCGAAGATATTGCAATAATAGGAAACCTATAGTCAGGCAGGCAATAGATTGTCAAGGGCTGAGCTGGAGAGAGCTGAGCTGCCGGGTATCAAGGTGGTCAATTAAAACAAGCCAAAGTGAAAATAACAAGCCTTGATTCACCTTCTGTGGTAGCATAAACAGGAGCCCAGGAAGATGTGTGTAAGTTTCCTAAGGAGGCTGTAATGCAGTACCACAACCTGGGTGGCCTGAACAAGGGAAATTTTTTGTCTGAAAGATTTTTAGGCCAGAAGTTCAAGATCAAGGTGTTGACAGAGTGGATTCCTTCTGAGGGTAGCGGGATGAGGGCGTCTTCTATGCCTCTCTTTTCTTTTCATGGTTTTCCAGCAATCTTAGGCTTTCTCTGACTTGTAAGCATATCATCCTGATTTCTGCTTTTATCTTCACACGGCATTCTCCCTGTTTGTGTATATAAGTTTCATTTTTTAATAAAGGCATCAGTCATGTTGGACGAGGGCACACCCTAATGATCTCATTTTCATTTGATTACCTGTTAAAAACAATAGCTACAAGTAAGGTCACATTCTCAGGTACCAGGGGTCAGGACTTCAACACATGAGTTTCAGAAGGACAAATTCCATCTCCAACATGCCAGTTTCTTGGCATTTTATTTTATTTTATTTTCATGGAATAGAACTGAGTGAAGGTCAGATGTATTAGCGCACAGAAGAGGAAACATCTCACTGCCAAGGGAGCCGTTAGCAAAAGGCTCCTGCCATTTTATGAACCCAGTTGCCTGAGGGGAGGTAGGAGGAAAAAGGCTAGCGGTAGAAAAGTACTGAAGACTGAGTCAGAGTGGAAAAAAATGATTTCAAATGTCCCTGATAAGGTGGTCTCAGCAAAAATCTCAGCCAAGGACTCATTGATAAGAAGGCCTCCTAATGACGGTGTCTGGGCCAGGATTGCAGATATGCTTAACAGTGTGGTCAGCTTGGAGGCCTATAACTCCTTCCAGACTGTGTGCCTTGTCTGCTGTGGGGAAGACAGCTTTTTCCCATGAGTCCTGCCAAAAAAGCCTTGTTATTACCTATGGGTGGGCCTAAGGGATCACCCATTGGATTTTGGCCTGGGGCTGGACCTGCACGATGTGGAGAGTCACAAAACTAACAGCATCTAGCCTTCATGCACTGCTCCAAAGATATCAGGTAGTTGGGTTCTTAGAACTTGTAAAGTGAGGATTAAAATAATATTCTACCTTAGTTATCACAAACACTTTTTTTTGGTAATAGATCAGTGTGGACTAATATCTAATTTAAGATCACAAGTTGTATAACTTTAAGTTTTGTTTTGTTTGTTTATTTCATTTTTAGCAGTTGCTTTTGTGAGAAAATTTTGACTGGCTGGAAAGTACATGTCATTTGTTCTGTTGAATGACCCAATTTCTAAATTTGTTTTGCTATTTTCTTGTGGTTTAATTTGCTGCTCTATCCTTTCTAATGAAAATCAAATTGAAAACTTTTAGCAATGTGAGAATATAGGTGATGCTATTTATTTTATATTATGTTACATAGGGAGACATGACACCTCACTGTTTCTCTATTAGTCATCCTGAGATTGGCTATGTGATTAAAAGCCTGGTTCCTCCATTGTTTCTCCATTTGTGACCAGAAAATTATCTGTATGTTTTTACCTGACACCACACAAATGTCTAATCTAATACCCATTCACTTAATGGTTTTAATAGCAGTTGAAAACCCTTGCATAATTAATAGTCTCATTAGGGATTGCATATGGTGACTTTCCAATATTAGCTGGATGTGTCTTGTAAAGTAACATTTTCCCCATCAATTGAAGTGATTTGGTGTATTATTTTTTATTACTGTATGACAAATTACCACACACTTACTGGCTTAATGCAACAACCATGTATTATCTCACATTTGAAAGTCAAAGCAGGCTCAACTGGGTTCTCTGTTGGCAAGGCTGAAATCACACTACTGACTGAGATGGACTGTTATGTAGAGGCTCTGGAAACAGAAGAATCTGTTTCCAAGCTCACTTGGACTGTTGGTGGAATCTAGTTCCTTGTGATTGTAGTCTGAAGCTGCCTTTTCCTTGCCGGCTGTCAGCCAGGGGCCAATTCTCTGTTCCTAGAAGCCCTCTGCGTCAAATCCTTCTCATGTTTCAAATTTTTTGGACTTTCTCTTCTGTCACCATATAAAGAAAGCTTTCTTTTTTTGAAATATTTGTGTGATCAGATTAGACCCACCTTTTTGGCATGTGAGGTAACATAATCATACGGTAAAATCATATTCACAGTTTTCATTCATCGGGGGGTAATTCTTAGAAATTTGTCTACCACATTTGGTTACCTTGGACACAATATGTACAAGAAAGCCCCATAAATATTCAGTTCTCCTCAGTCTATTTAAATACTTCTCAAATTGGTGTTTGGCCATAGCTTCTTGAACATCTGTCTCTAGGTCTCCAATCAATTTAGGTTCCTTTGGGTCATTTAATAAAGTTATTATGCTAATTCAGTAATTGAAGTTGTCCACAATTTTAGTTATCTGTTACTGTTTAAGGTACATTAAAACTCCGTGGTGTAAAACAACAACTATTTACTATTTCTTATCATTCTATGTGCTCACTGGGCAGTTCTGATCTCCACATAGTGTCAACTGGGGTTTCTCATTCGGCTGTTTTTAGCTGGTGGCTAGGCCAGGCTTGGAAGCTCCAAGAAGATTTTTTTCACATACCTGTAGTCTTGCTGTTTACTGTTGGCTGAAGTGCCCTAGTTTTTCTACTAAGTGGCCCCTCTCTTTATATGATATCTCACCTCCCAGGGCTTTTTCACATGCTTCTTGCTCCAGATAGCAAGACACTACTTGCATTATGCTTGTTACCCTCCTGTACCAGTTTGAATAACGTTTCCCCAAAATTAATGTTCACCTGGAACCTATGAATATGACCTTATTGGGAAACAGTGTATTTGCTGATGCAATCAAGTTAATATGAGGTCATATTGGATTAGAGTAGGCCCTTACTCAAATGACTGGTGTCCTAATAGGGAGAGACAGACACAGAGACATAGAAAAAAGGCCATGTGGAGACAGAGATTAGAGTGATGCGGCTATAAACCAATGAATGTCAACGGTTGCCAAGAGCCACCAGAAGCTAAGAATAGGCAAGAAAGAACACTCCCTTGGAGCCTTAAAAGGGAGCGTGACCATGCTGACACCTTAGCCTCTAGAGCTAAGAGATAATACATTTCTGTTTTAAGCCAACTTGTTTGTGGCACTCTTTTACATTCGTCTTAAGAAACAAACACGTTGCCCATTAGTCAAAGCAAGTCACATGACCAAGCCCAGAGTCAGTGTGGGAGGGGGCTAGAAAAGGGTACAGTTGATAGGAGGCCACCAGTGTAATAGTCTACCATAGTTTGCCATCTGACACTTTATGGTTCATGTCTCTCTTGCATGCAGAATACATGTAACCCCACCCCCGCCCCCGTCAAAGCGCTGAAGTCTTATTCCATGAAGGCATTGGGCTTCAGTTTGAGTTCAGAATCTCATATCAATCAGGTCCAGATGCAAATGAAGCTCCTTGGTTGCAGTTGCTCAACTCTGGAAGTCTGTGAACTAAAACATATTACCTTCCTTCCACACCCAACATACAATGGCAAGACAGGGTTATAACTGCAATAAATACTGTCCTTCCAGAAGGGGATGGGATGGGGTGCAGGAAATACTTAGCAGTCATTGGTTCATAGCAGTTCTGAAATCCAGCTGGGCAAGTGGCACAAGTTCTCTCTGTTCCAGCGGCAGAGAATATTTTAACAGTTGTCAAATTAACAAAAAATTGTTTGGAATTTAAGGACGTTATTTGAAAAGATTATTGCAATAAGGGGGAAGGGACAATTGTAATAGGAGAGAATGACTATTGCAGTAGACAGAGGGAAAATATTACAATAGAATAAACACTCAATCATGGCATCTACAAGTGTCTTAACAGGCAGAGAAATGCTTTTCATTTTTTTAGAAAAATAATTTTTAATTGAGGGGATACGTGTGCAGGTTTGTTACAAGTGTATATTGTGTGATGGGGGAGTGTGGACTTGTATTGATCCCATAACCCAGATAGTGAACATGGCACCCAATAGGAAGTTTTTCAGCCCTAGCTCCCCTCCCTCCCTCCCTTCTCTTGGAGTCCCCAACGCCTGTTGCTTCTATTTTTATGTCCATGTGAATCCAAGATTTAGTACCCAATTATAAGTGAGAACATGTGATATTTGGTTTTCTGTTTCTGCATTAATTTGCTCAGGATAATGGCCTCCAGCTCCATCCATGTTGCTTCGGAGGACATGATTTCATTCTTTTTATGGCTGTATAGTATTCCATGGTGTATATGGACTACACTTTATTTATCCAATCCACTGTTGATGGGCACCTAGGTGGATTCCATGTGTTTGTGATTGTGAATAGTGCCATGATGAACATGTGAGTGCGTGTGTCTTTTTGGTGGAATGATTTATTTTCCTTTGAATATACACCCAGTAGTAGGATTGCTCAGTTGAATGGTAGGCGTGTTTTTATTTGAGAAATCTCCAAACTGCTTTCTGCAGGGGCCGAATTAATTTACATTCCTACCAACAGTGTATAGGTGTTCCCTTTACTCTGCAACCTCACCAAAAATTTTTTTGGACTTTTTAATAACAGCCATTATCACTGGAGTGAGATGGTGTCTCATATTGGTTTTGATTCGGGTCTCTCAGATGATTAGTGTTATTGAGCATTGTTTTTTATGTTTCTTGGCCACTTGTATGTCTTTTTGGGGAAGTGTTTGTTTATGTCATTTGCCCTCTTTTTAATAGGGTTGTTTGTGCTTTTCTTATTGATTAGTTTAAATTCCTTGGAGTTGTGGGTATTGGTCCTTTTTCAGATGCATAGTTTGCAAATTCTGTTGAATGGGTGGTTCTGTTTCTGTTAGGCTCTCTTTTTAATCTGTTGAGTATTTTTCTTGCTGTGCAGAAGCTCTTTAGTTTAATTAAATCACATTTGTCTATTTTTTGATTTTGTGCAATTGCTTTTCGGGTCTTCATCATTAATTACTTGACTAGGACCAAGTCTGGAAGTGTATTTCCTAGGTTTTCTTCTAGAATTTATAGTTTTAGGTCTTACATTTAAGTCTTTAATCTATCTAGATTTAATTTTTGTGTATGGTGAGAGGTAGGGGTCCAGTTTCAATCTTCTGCATATGGCTAGCCAGTTATCCCAGCACTATTTATGGAATAGCAAGTCCTTTCAGCGTTGCTTGTTTTTAATCAACTTTATCCAAGATCAGATGTTGGTAGGTGTGTGTCATTATTTCTGCATTCTCTGTTCTGTTCCATTTGTCTATGCATCTGTATTTTATTTTCTAGGGGGTTGTAAGTAGTCTTTGCCCCTTGTAATTTCTTGCACTGAAATCTTTCTGAATTCTGGAGGAAACCACAGTTGGGTTCATCCAACGTTTATCCTAACCTCCTTCCTACCCCATAGAAGCTGAAAAGCCAGAAATTATACTTCATAGACTCCCTTGTTTCTGAAGAGGTTTAGGTTTTGCAGATTAGATCTTATTTAGAAATTAAGTGGAAGATGAGAAGCTGCAGTCAATGATGCATCGTTTTTGCTGGTGTACATCCGGTAGATGTAGCATGGCTCTGGAGCCGCCATAATCTTCAAATTACAACTACAGGTAGTGGTACAGCAACAGCTTTCAGCTCCTTGGATCATAGTGCGCACCTGGATCCAGAAGTTCAGACAGTGGCCCCATATGGCAGCTTCTTGACTCTTCATCTTCCTGACTGAGAGCGCGAGAGCAGTTTCCTCGACAAGTTTGTTCTCTGGTGGTGTTCTGGTAATTAATCCAAAGCTCAGACTGGAGGTTGGTCCTTTGACCCTTCTACAATTTCACAAATACTTAATTCCTGCAGTGAACACTTTTATTTGTCTGTAATAACAAGAGAGATTTCTGTTATCTGCAGTTAAGTCCTGACTGATACACAGCTGGTCCTTTCATGACTCTGCAGGGACCATTTCCAGACACTAAGATGCAGAATTCCTGAAGTTTGGTGATTTACGTGTCTAAACTAAGTATATGGTTTAGTGGATTGCCACTAATACTATACTCTTCTCGAAAACTATTTTAAACTAGTGTAGACTGATGTTGCCTCCCTCCTTTCCCCTCTTCCCTATAAAATATTTAGGTTTTAAAGATGATATAACCTTACTGAAGGAAGACAAATGTATACTGCATTCCTTGGCAAATGATGGCAGGAAGGTAAACCTGAGGATGTAAACCTTGATAAAGATAAACCTTGAGGACATTATGCTAAGTAAAATAAGCCTGTCACAAAAAGACAAATATTATGTGATTCCACTTATATGAGATATCTAGAGTAGTAAAATTCATAAAAACAAAAAAGTAGAAACTTATATACCCATAAAAAAACAATTCTCCATTTGCATTTCCCCCAGCCCCTGAGGAGGAAAGAAAGACTCCTGGAGGATATTGCTAAGTCTACAGCAGCACACTGTAAAAAAAAAAAAAAAATTGGGAAAGATTATATCATCTTTAAAAACCAAGTATTTTACAGGGAGGAACGCAGAAGAGGGAGGCAACATCAGTCTACACTGATTTATAATAATTGTCAAGCAGAGTATAGTAATAATGACAATCCACTAGATCATATATTTAGTTTAGTAATTAATTAAATTAATTAATATTAAGGTAAATTAATTAATTTACCTTCCTTTTCAGTTGATACATTGAAAAACATAATAGGGAAGTCAATTACAACTAAATATTTTTCAGGGGCTTTAATTAATTCATTAGTTATTTGGACAATGTAGTCAGTATACCCACTGCTATAACAAGTAATAATTGATGTAAGGCTTTTTTTGCACCATTATCTCTGAGAATTAAGTGGATATATAGACTTTTAAATTACCCCTATATCTTTCAGATACTTTGAGGAGGTTTCAGCTTGTTTTACCCCAGTTTGCTTTCTGTGAATATTAAATATATACTTTTTTTCTGGTAATGTTTTATTTCTTGATTTACATGGTAGGTACACAAATGTTCAGTTATCAATTACTCCTTAAGTTTTTAAAATAGCGGTGAAAACACACATCATAACATTTATCATTTTAACCATTTTTATGTGTACAGTTCAGTAGTGTATTCACATTGTTATGAAAGCAACATCCAGAAGTTTTTCATCTTGCAAAACTGAAACTCTGTAACCATGAAACAACAACGCTCCATTTCCCTTTTCCACAGCCCCTGGTAACCACCTTTCTAGGTTTTCACTTCTATAAATTATACTACTCCAGATATCTCATGTAAGTGGAATCATGAGAAATATTTCTCTTTTTGTGACAGTCTTATTTCACTAAGCATAATGTCCTCAAGGTTCATCTATATTGTATCATGTATAAAAATTTATATCCTTTTTAAGACCGAATAATATTTCATTGTATGTATATGCCACATTTTCTCTGTTTACATGTCCATGAACCCTTCGGTTGCTTTTACAGTTTAGCTATTGTGAATATCGCTGCTATGAGCCTGGCTGGACAATAGATCTTTGAGATATTTCCTTTCAATTCTTCTAAATATATACCCAAAAGTGGGATTTGGGGATCATATGGTAATTATATTTTTAATTTTTTGAGGAGCTTTCATACTGTTTTCCATAGTCATTGTGTTAAATACATACTTTCCGTCAGGCAGTTTGACATGTTGCTATTTATTCTTCTGACAGTAATCATAAAAATATTTAACTTGTTTATCAAATTCAAAATGCCTTTTCCACCCCAATCTATCAATTTCAATGATTTCTTCTGAGGTTTTGGCTACTACCAGTTCAATTTTCCTGCTCGATCAACAGAATATTTCCAGTTTAGTTTTAGTTTTCAAAACAAGCGTGTCTATATTACTCAAACTTTTAAACAATTCTGTATTTCCTAAAGCAATCATCACTTGGGAGCCACTGCCAATTCATATTAATTCCTTCATTAAATCCTGCAAGATAATCAGGGACCACCTCAATCTCAGAATACCTTTGTGGATCTCTTACCAACTTTAATTGTAGTGGGCTTCTTCCCTAAAAAATCTTTAGAAACAAGCTCAGCTTGGTTTATTTTGCCTTCAGAGGCCTTATCACCAAACTTTACTGCCTCTTAGGATTGCCTCAGTAGGTACTACCTCTGGAATCTAAGGTTGTTTTCTTGGTACTGGCTTAACTACCTCGTCTGACTGTCTGCACTCTTCTAGAGGATTTTCTGCCCCATTTCTATCAGTGAATGGCTAAAGTAAGCCTACTTTCACATGAGCATTAGCCTACTAAATGCAGAACATCTACCACTGCCCTTTCCTGGTCTCTGTGATCCTTCATATGTTAGAGAAATCATCTTGGTGAAAAGTGATATGAATTTCATTTCCCTTATTAAAGTCAATTACTGAATTATAAACTCTACTTTAGTTCCCGTGGGGTGTTAAGTATATTAGTAATCCCATCTATTCATGGCTAGCTTTATCTTTGGCTTTAGGAATAATTTCTCTCATTTGCACTAAATCTGTTAGTAGTTTTGAGACAGCTCTTTCACTAGGATGTAAATATTCATTTCATGGGAGAGCTAGAGAAGACTTCTCCATCTTTGAAGGGGACTCTAGACTTTTAAAATATGTTCCAAGTCTTTCATTGTAAGGAGATTTTCTAACCTAATTTTATTTTTGTTAATATAATGGTGTCTATATGTTTGGTGTATATTAAACCACCAATTCTGATCTCTTTATATTGTTTTGGCAAATTATTTCCTATGATTAGTAACTTGAACAGTAAACTTGGAAGTTTACGTCCAACTTCTTAAAATCTTAAAGCCAAGCCAAATCCTTCAGAAGGACGGTTATAATTGTCTCCTATGTTAAGTTGGTTTTCTGATCCCCACTCTTGTTCCCCCCCTTTTTTTTCCAATGCACTACTATAGACTTACTTAGAAATATTATCCAGGATTCTTTATTTCCTCCTTTACAAAACATGAACACTTAAAAATGACAACAATATCATAGTACCTTAATAACTTACAATTTTTTTCTCTTATGGAAAGTGATCTGTTTCCTCCTTTTGCTCTAACCCTAGGTAAATACCACAAATTCCACGCACTCGTTTGCACCAGGTTTTAGAAACTGACCTAATTTATCCATTCAGCAAGTGTTTGGTTCTTTTGTCATTTTCTAATAGCCTTTGTAAATCAGAGGCAGTTGGTGCTTTATATGGTTGCTTCACCCAAGATCTTTCTATTAGGTGATATAAAAACCAATCTTAGATCTGATTTTGCCATCGATACACTTGTTAACAAAAGCAGGCAGACACAATCATACTATCTGTTCTTGTAGTTCAGGAGTAAACCCACTCTCTTTCTTTAGTTCCTCTGGCTAGTACTTGGTGCTGGATCATCCAGCTTTGTAGATAGTTCAGGGAAGAGAGTCTTCCATGAAACAAAGTTATACACAAGTGATATTATTTGGCTCTGTGTCCCCCCAAATCTCATCTCTAATTTTAATCCCCACATATCAAGGGAGGGACCTGGTGGGAGGTGATTGGTTGTGGGAATGGGTTCCCCCATGCTGTCCTCATGATAATGAGTGAGTTCTCATAAGATCTGATGGTTTAAAAGTGTTTGGCACTCATCCCGCCCTGATACCAGGTAAGATGTGCTCTGCTTTCCATTTGCCTTCTGCCTTGATTGTAAGTTCCCTGAGGCCTCCCCGGCCCTGCAGAACTGTGAGTCAGTTAAACCTCCTTTGTTTGTAAATTACGAAGTCTCAGGGACCATTTTATAGCAGTGTGAAAACAGACTAATACAAGAACCAATGGGACTTGAGACTTTAAGGACTGCGTTAAAAGTGTTAGGTTATGGGGTTTGCCAGACTTTTGAGCCTTGTTCATACAAGAACAACGAGACCTAAGCAATATTTCAATTATATATCTTGAACATCATTTATTTCACCAATGAAAAAATTCATTTTTAACATCTCTCATGCTGATTAACACACCTTCAGGGTGTATCTTTTTATATCTACATTGAAGATGCTTAATACCCTCCCCTGGAGATGGATTCTTGATTAGGGTACATCATATGCTAGCTAACCACCTTTATGATGAAGATGACAGTTATCTTGGATACATCACACCGAAAATATAAAGTTAGTAATCTAATTAGATAATAGTTATATGAAAAGAAAAATAGAAATCTGAAGTTTTTCTATGTTAAAAGATAAACTTGGCAAGTGCGTGTAACATTTATCTCCCCCAGCCTTTCTGTCAGTCCCTCTTCTACCACTAGTGATGGCTCTCCTTCTCCCCGGAAGACAGTTAATGTTCTTCTGATCTTCTTCCTTTATCAAAACAGGTTCTCAGAAAAATATTTGGTGAACT
Source organism: Homo sapiens (assembly GCF_000001405.40). Taxonomy (NCBI): domain Eukaryota; kingdom Metazoa; phylum Chordata; class Mammalia; order Primates; family Hominidae; genus Homo; species Homo sapiens. The sequence goes on along the minus strand of NC_000023.11, from coordinate 145,130,204 downwards.
CATACACAATAAGAGGTTGATAACAGTTTAGAGAAGGTGGTGAGAACAGGTTAAAAGCTTGTTGTATGCTAAATGCCAGGCTTATTTGTACATTTGAAGATACTTGAAAGGGACAAATAGTTGAGCAAAATCCTACCATCTCAAGTTACCATTTACTGAGCATGTACTGTGCATGTACCCTGATACATATGTCATATATATAAGTGTGTGTGTGTATATACATATAAGTTTGTGTGTGTGTATATATATACACACTTACATATGCATGTGTGTGTATATATGTGTGTATATATATACATACACACACATATATATATACATTGCACAGCTTGCTGTGCAAAGGAGTTAGCCACCATATATATACACACACACTTATATATATGTGTATATATATATACACATACACACTTATATATATGTGTGTATATATATATACATACACACACACATATAAACACATTATCTCATTTAACCCTCATAACCTTATGATGCAGCTAGCATTATTTCTATTTTATCATTTAGGAAACTGAGGCTCAGAGAGGTTAAGTAAATTGCCTAAGGTCTTTTCACTGCCATCACAGTGATCCAATTTCCTGGGGCTTTCATTTTAACAGTGAAAAAATTTTAGGACGTAGGAATTCATGTCTCATTGTGATTTTCAGGCTTCACTAAACTGGTGGGAAAAATAATTGTTACATCAAACAATTGCTCGCTTTTGTAGTGGGATGAATCTCGGTGAGAAATCTGCAAGTGAAGGCATCCATGTGTGCTAGATCTATATTTTAACAGTTTGTCCGTTGGTGTTTTTTCTCCCCCATCTATCTCACCTTCTTTATACATACACATGCACAGACACTCATATATGCACACATACAAGCACACATTATTCCTTGCAGATTTAGCTAATATTATTGTAGAAGAGTGTAGTGTTTAGAATGTTATGATATATTTTATTAATATTTTCTGGGAATTAAATGGAGGCTTAATATTCCCATTGGTGTCTTTCAATGTCAGAATATTCTGCCTTCCTTTTTGCTTTGAAGTTCTTATATAAATCCTTTTGTATTGAAACTATCCTTCAGTCAGGTTTTGTGATAAAAATTAATTGCAAGTAAGTTGTACATCGACTCTTACACATTATTTTGCATTGATTATTCACAGCTCCGTATTTCAACTGTTTTTTGATCAATTGGCAGAAAGACAAACCATCTTATTAAGGTGGCCATTGAATACACACTATTAGCCATTAATGGCAAGTATCATCAATGTAATAGTTATTAACAATATGTCAGCATCATGTGCCTTCATTAATATAATAATGATTATTATCCATGTGTCCGTCATACAAACGGGAACTATCTGCCTATTGCTTATCACAGTCAGATGCAAAAAATGTTATGGAGCAAAAGGTGAAACTTATATTTAAGATGACATCACATGTTCATGTTTTGAAGTCCTCTATTTCAGACACAAAGCTATGTTAGATAAAATTTAAAAAAAAGAGGCTCTGCTCAGAAATATGATACATGTCTCCCTGAAATAAAGCTGAAATCAAGCATCAGAATCTTGAAACAAGCTGGGATGTACAGAATTTGTGTTCCCTTAGTGTAAGAGTAATTAAATTAAAAGTATTCCATTTGATGTGGAGAAACAAAGATCCACTGCTTTGTAGAAATAAATAAAGACCACACAAATGAGAATAAGCAAAGGATATTTATTCAGAGCTTGCTCTGCAAAGGAGTTAGCCACCATCATTTGTGTTTGGCAGAGATTCAAAAGCAGGCAAAGCAGTGAGAAAGTTTTAGAGTGAATGAAGGAGAAGGTTTCAGGATGCTCTGATTGGAGGTTGTTGGCATATGGGAAGCCAGAAGCAGACTATCTAGAAGTGGAGTATCCCATATGATCAGTTGGTGGAGGCAGGCTTGGCTTTCCTGGTCCTGAGCAAGCAGTAGGGACAAAAATTGGAGAAGTGGGCAGTCATTGACCAAGTCCATTCTGTTTGGGGTCAATTGCTAAAGAGTTGGCGGTGTGGCTTCTCAGGATGATTGCTGCAGTGGCTGTGCATCAGAATTCTATTGTCATATATGGTCTGACCGTTGTCTGTTTGTATATTCGATTTCTCTGCTTGAAACAAATGGGTGAGATTGCCCATTTCCCATAAGAAAAGGTTGAGAAAAGCAACAACTCGCTGCTACTTGGTGCAATATCTTATACAAAGCTCTGATACACCATCATAATTGTAGTAAGGAGTGTTGAGCCTGCATTCCAGACTGAGAACTAGGTTGCAACTCCCACAAAGTTGCTACATATAGACATATGAGGTTGTTAGTGGTGGTGGCAGTGGGGTGAGTAGAGACTGAGGGTGGAACAAGAAACAAAATAAATCACAGTCTAGATCAGCCTGCAAACAAAAATTACAAAGCATATAAGAAAAATTACCACAATGAAGGACAACAGATGTATCAACAACTGGGAAATATATTCACTTAAAAGAAACTGAAGATTACATGGCCATCTAACAGTGACCTTATATTCAAAATGTTTGATCTTCAAAGAGGTAAGGTGAAGAAAAAGTCTGTATAAACTAGTAAGAAATTATTAAATAAAAGCTGGCAGAAGGGAGACAAAAACAGATGGTTGTCAAAAATACAATTAGAGATTCTGTAAATAAAAATTATAGTCATTGAGATGTAAGAAACAATATTTTATTTATATAAATGCAATAGTTAAGCCAAGTAGTCTTAGAATGATTAATCCAGGTGACTAAAATTATAATTCTTTAAAATAATCTCAATTTTTAAAAATTTTTCTGTGCAGTTAGAACAGACACATGAAGATATCCAATTAGCATGTCCTACAGATTGTTTTGGAGCAATGTTAGCCAGTCTAAATTTTTTTGTGATTCTATGATTGTAAGAAACCTATGCACAGACTTTTGATAATGATGAAAAGGAATCTTGGAAAACTGATTGTGCTACCTGAAATAGTCATGCTGCAATTAATAATTTCCAAGTCTTCTATCATTAACCAATGTTGATTTTGGAGCTGGAATATAGACTTTATAAACTAAACCAGCCTATTAGTATTTTATTCCATTCGTAATATTAAACTTAGTTTAAAAGCAAGTTTAAAAAAAGGAGTACACTGAGAAGCCCTGAATTTTTTCCTAGAAGACATTCATTTTCACTCTCATGATATTTACACTGAAATGTAAAGTTTAGAACAGTGAATAATATGACTTACTAGTTATGATATCTGTAAAACTGGTAATGTTTATGTTTTAGAAAATGATCACAAAATGTTTATTAAAAATCTAACTGAATTCAAGAGTACTTAAAATGGGAAACGTTCATTTCAGTAGACAGTGCCAAACCCTTTCTTATAAATATTGTGTAAGACTCTCAAGGATCTATAGGAATTTATCATTGAGAAGATCTAAATGACATAGAAATGGCAAAAACTTATTTGGTTGTACTAATGATGTTTTTCTGCCTTCCACATGACCTTGACCAGAAAAGGCCAGACTACATATTGGAGAGTTTCAGTGGTGAGTCTGCTAATACAAATATTAGACACATTAAAACAATTTATTTGTCCACTTGATATAATGCTTTGATTTTATTCAGATATAATTTTGGAATATAAATTTAATATTTTCTAAAGCTTTGGATCCAGGCTGAAAATGAATTCAATGCATCTAATTCACAGTATTTATCCCAATAAGCAATGCCTATTTTATTTCAAATGGTTACCAGCTGTTAGGGCTTTGTCGTTGACTGACCTATCCAAATAGCAAGGTGTTTCCACCAATTAGCACTTTCATTTCTCCTCATATTTTCCCTTTATTTTTCCTACCTTTTCTAAGATTGTATTTTGTGTCCATTTTCTCCCTCTTAACACATTAAACATTGATAAATTTTGATCCTTTTAAGATGTGTATTTTCCTTTATTTGTACTGCACGTGGGCATTCTCATCATTGAATATTATGTGACTATGTCATTTATCTGAGGCTACTATACCTTTATTATGTAACTTTTAAGAATCTTACTAGCTAAGTTTTTTTCAGCATTCAATATTGAAAGCTGGATTAATTTCTCACTACACAATTGAAATTACTTATTATAATGTCCTGTTAATTTTCAAAACCAATATCCTTGTCTCAGTTTTCATATCTTGAAGACTTTGTGGTATGGGACAATACTGACTAATCAAACCTCAATCTATACATTTCTATCTTAATCAAAATCTCAGAATTAAAAAAAATCTCTGTAGTAAGCAGAGAACACAAAATTGCAGACACATTGCTTTACCTATTAACCTGGTTAAAATCAGATAGCAGTATAATGCCAATTATTGGCAGAAATATGTAAATATAGAAGCCTTCAGGCACTGCTGATGAAAAGGTAAATTACTGTCATTCTGGAGAACAATACAGCACCCCAAATTATTTCCCAGACAGGGTCTTCAAAGAACTTATGTGATATGGTTTGGCTGTGTCTCCACCTAAATCTCACCTTGAATTGTAATAATCCCCATGTGTCGAGGGTGGGCCCAGGTGGAGATAATTGAATCATGGGGGTGGTTTCCCTCATACTGTTCTCATGGTAGTGAACAATTCTCACAAGATCTGATGGTTTTATAAATGGGAGTTTGCCTGCACAAGCGCTTTTTCCTGCCGCCATGTAAGATGTGCCTTTGCTCCTCCTGTGCCTTCCACCATGATTGTGAGGCCTCTACAGCCATGTGGAACTGTGAGTCCATTAAGCCTCTTTTTCTTTATAAATTACCCAGTCTTGGGTATGTCTTTATTAGCAGTATGAGAATGGACTAATACAATAAATTGCTAAAGAGTAGTGGGGTGCTGTTGTAAAGATACCAGAAAATGGGAAAGTGACTTTGGAACTGGGTAACAGGCAGAGGTTGGAACAGTTTAGATGGCTTAGAAGACAGGAAGATATGGGAAAGTTTGGAACTTCCTAGAGAATTGTTGAATGGTTTTGACCAAAATGCTGATAGTAATATGGACAATGAAGTCCATATTGAGTTGAGGCTGAGTTGGTCTGAGATGGAGATGAGGAACTTGTTGGTAACTGGAGTAAAGATTACTCTTGCTGTACAAAGAGACTGGTGACATTTTGCCCCTGCCCTAGAGATCTGTGGAACTTTGAACTTGAGATGATTTAGGGTATCTGGGGGAAGAAATTTCTAAGCAGTAAAGCATTCAAGAGGAAGCAGAGCATAAAAGTTTGAAAAATTTGCAGCCTGAGGATGAGATAGAAAGAAAAACCCATTTTCTGAGGAGAAAATCAAGCCAGCTGCAGAAATCTGCAAAAGTAACAAGGAGATGAATATTAATCACCAAGACAAGGGGGAACATTTTTCCAGAGCATGTCCAAGACTTTCATGGCAGCCTCTGCCATCACAGGCCCAAAGGCCTAAGAGGGAAAAATGGTTTTCCGGATTGGGCCCAGGGCCCCCCCTAGCTGTATGCAGCCTTGGGACTTGGTGCCCTGCATCTAAGCTGCTCTAGCTGTGGCTAAAAGAGGCCAACATACAGCTCAGGCCATTGCTTCAGAGGGTGCAAGCCCCACGCCTTCGCAGATTCCTTGTGGTGTTGGGCCTGGGGTGTGCAGAAATCAAGAATTGAGGTTTGGGAACCTCTGCTTAGATTGCAGAGGATGTATGAAAACTCCTCAATGTCCAGGCAGAAGTCTGCTGCAGGGGTGGAACCCTCATGGAGAACCACTGGTAGGGCAGTGAGGAAGGGAAATGTGGGGTTGGAGCCCCCACACAGAGTCTTCACCGAAGAACTGCCTAGTGGAACTGTGGGAAGAGGGCCACCATCCTCCAGACCTCAGAATGGTAGATCCACCAACAGCTTGTACCATGCACCTAGAAAAGTCATAGATGCTGTACATAAGCCCGTGAAAGCAGCCAGGAGGCAGACTGTAACCTGCAAAGCCACAAGAGCAGAGCTGCTCAAAGCCATGGGAGCCGACTTCTTGCAACACCATGATCTGGATATGAGACATGGAGTCAAAGGAGATCATTTCTGGGATTTAAGATTTGACTGCCCTGCTGGATTTTGGACTTGCATGGGGCCTGTACCCCCTTTGTTTTTGCCATTTTCTCCCATTTGGAATGGGTGAATTTACCCAATGCCTATACCCCCATTGTATGTAGGAAGTAACTAACTTGCTTTTGATTTTACAGGCTCATAGGCAGAAGGGACTTGCCTTGTCTTGGGTAAAACTTTGGACTGTAGACTTTTGAGTTAATGCAGAAATGAGTTAAGACTTTGGGGGACTGTTGGGAAGGCATGCTTGGTTTTGAAATGTGAGGGCATGAGATTTGGGAGTGGCCGGGGTGGAATGAAATGGTTTGTCTGTGTCCCCACCCACATCTCACCTTGAATTGTAATAATCCCCATGTGTGAAGGGTGGAGCCAGGTGGAGATAATTGAATCATAGAGGCATTTTCCCCCATATCGTTCTTGTGGTAGTGAATAAGTCTCATGATATCTGATAGTTTTATAAATGGGAGTTCCCCTGTACAAACTCTCTCGCCTGCTGCCATGTAAGACATGCCTTTGCTCCTCCTTTGCCTTCCACCACGGTTGTGAGGCCTCCCCAGCCATGTGGAACTGTGCATCCATTAAACTTCTTATTCTTTATACGTTACACAGTCTCAGGTATGTCTTTATTAGCAGTGTAAAAATGGACTACTACATTATGCAAGGCTATCCATCATTGTACTTGTTAGTGGAGATTTTGAAGCATTCTGGATATTTCCAGATTCAATCTCCAGTGGGAGATTGAATAGGTCAAATGTAGCTGATGTAGGAAAGTCTTAACTAATTGCATCTGTGATAAAACTATTTCCAAATAAAGTCACATTTTGAGGTACTGGAAGTTAAGACTTCAACACAGATTATTTGGAGGTAGGTGTACTATTCAACCTATAACAGTAACTAACAAAAATCATTCTGTAACAAAGTGGTGGATGTGAGGAAATCACTAGATATAAACTACTGAGACATTTGTACATGTCCTAAAGTATAGGCTTCAGCAGGGTGAAAGCTGGGAGCAGGCATAAAAATAATTATAGAGGTTTTCATATAAGGGTTGGGGAGGGTGAAAACTTCCTCTTTTTTTGAGTTATCCAGTTCCAAGTTTATGCCTCTCTTCTCTAGTGTTCAGTTGACCCCAGGAACTCTCCCACCTGCTTCTCTTTCAATAACTGTGACTTTGCAGATATGATTAAGCAAAGGATCTTGAGATGGAAAGGTCATTCTGTATTATCCAGGTAGACCCTAAATGTAGCCACGTGCATTCTTATGTAAGAGAGAGCTATTTTATGACAGAGAGAAGAAGGGAAGGAAAAGTCACCATAAAGGCCAAGATTGGAATAATGTGCCCACAAGCCAAGGAATACTGGCAGCCACCAGAAGCTGAAGAGACAAGAAAGCAATTTTCCATTAACTCTTCTTAAGGGAGTGTGGCCCTGACAACACTTTGATTTCACTCTAGTAATACTGATTTCAGATTTCTGGCCTTCAGAACTGTGAGATAATACATTTTTGTTGTTTTAAGCCACCAAGTTTGTGGTGATATTTTATAGCAGGCACAGGAAACTAATACACATGAATCAATCATAACAATTAAGTAAAGATAGTATCTATCTCAGATTATCATTATGAGGATTACATCAGGTAATATATTAGAAAGCTCTTAATAGAACCAAATACATACTGGACTCCTCATAAATCATAACTATCTTTATAATATCATTATTATTTAATCTGGACTTGATTATTTGGGGATTTTTTTCAAAGGAGTCTGGGGTCTGGGGTAAATAGCATGACTGGAGTTTAGTGTATATGCTGATTAAGAGATGAGGGAAAGGAGAGTGTAGTAAAGATTTAGAGTTGAGATTAAATCTGATTTCGAACTAGAAAGTGGAATCTGCAGCAATTGATTACATTCTCCTTTTCATAATCAATTCTTCCACCACAGTCCTGTCCTACCACAGCCCTGGACGAGGTAAAGAGGAATACAGGAAGTAAAAGGAGGAGAGAAAAAGAGTTGCTCTAAGAAGTAGCCCATCATAGGAAATACATGGGGAATTTCAGCTAAAGGCTGTTGCCCCTGAGTGGTTAACATATGCAAGGACATAAAGAATTTCGTCACATAGGAGTCAGGAGTGAAAGCATATTTTTAATTGACAAAAATGTTTTCAATTGTTGATCAAAATGATTGTTTTTGCTGTGTAATTTTTCTCCAGGGTCACTTTTCCTCTAGGGATTCTGCAGTCAACTTATATCATGAATAGTCCAAAGGACTGATCATTTTATGGAAAAATTTCTGCTTGTCTATTTTTGTTTGTGGCATTAACTGCCACAAAATGATAGCAATGCTTTATAGAAGCTGGAAATTTTACCCCAGGGTACCACCTAGGAAAAGGACAAATCATATTTAGATAATTCCTTGTTTGCAGCTAATAAAATCTACTCCAAAACCTATCAGTGACATGAACTATTGCATATTAAGGCAGTTTCCAAGATTTGAATTCAATAAGTAGTGAGCTGAATTAGAGGCTGTAATTGTGTCTGATGAAGATAAGCTTTTCAGCTTTCTAATAGGTTGTTATGGAGCATCCAGTTTCTGGACTCTTCTCTAACTTCATATTCTACTCCTTCTACCACCATATAAATGGGAACTCAGACATCTGCACATATGTTAAAGAAAATGAGGAAACTAAATTCAAAATAAGATTGCCTGCCATATTAAAAGAAGCAGTGACGTAGAGTATTTATGAGGACATTTATCATATTCTCTGTCTTTCAATATTTCAACATGAGGTCAACAAAATACCAAGCTGTACATCGAACTATACATCAGGAGACCTAAATTGCTACTTTCACATCTGCAACTAGCTAACTATGTGACACTAGACAAATCAATTTGCCTTTATAAACCTGAGTTTTCAAATTTTTATAAAGACATGATGGACTGAATGATCTCCAGTAGCGTGTCTGGAGCCAACATTTTCTAACCTGTATACATTGGATTTTAAGTTTTTATTCCTACACCTTTGATGTCCCAAGTGAAAATTTACATGTACTAGGGCAAATTGATTCTGACCAGAAGATTCAATGGATCCTAACTTTCCAAGATAACTTTTTTTCTATGTTTTCCAAAATTTGATGGTCTGAAACCTTATTTCCCCGTGCCTTCCTTGTTTATTCATTTGTACTATAGTACGTGGTCATTTATTGTGTTTCTGGCAGGGTTGCAGAGTCCTAGGTTCTTGTCTTATTGGAAAAAAAAAAATTCATCCAAGAGACGCACAGCAAGAGTTAAGTAGCAGAGTTCATTGAAGGACGATAAAGTATGTTCCAAGGGAGGAGCAGGCTGACACAAAAAACAGCACCAGGCTGCTCCAGCTGGAAAACAGTTCTGGGTTGGTTTGGCTGGAAAAATAGCAGTAGCATTGTTTATTTAAAAAGACCATACACTCTGGAAGATGAGTCAGAGTGGGCTGCTCCAAAAAGAGAACAAGCCAGCAGCAGCTAGTGATGAGGGACTCTCCATATGATAATTTTACATGATTATTCATGGAGGGGCATGATGGGAGGTTACTTGCAGTCATCTTTTAGGTGGTCCCCTTGGGTACACATGCTCTGTGGTTCTACATGCTAGTACACATGCTGCATGTCTCATTAGCATTTAAAATCTCCACCTAGAGGTGTGTTTTTTTACTATTATAATGAGCAAAAGGCTACTGCGGGGCGAGTTATTGGAGGAGTGCACATGCTCATCAGTGGGGAAATTCCCTACCATGGTAATCTCCAGTTAGGGCCCAATAGGTCCCCTTTAGGTCCAACAACAAGGCCAGAAGTAGCCAGTGTAGCCATCGTCTATTTGCTGACTGTCAGTGGGCAGCGTCTCCAGGACTTATTTCCTCAGTGGCTCCCTTGCTTGTGCATTTCTGGCTATCTCTCTAGTCAAACAGTTGTACTTGGCAGTCAGTGAGCCATGGCACAGTCGTTGTCATAGGACATTCACTGTCCATACCAAGGTGTGCACAGTTGAGCTCTTTCCTATACTCCTGGCAATTACCTGCCATGGTGAAAGTGTGTCATAGAACTCAGCCTAAATGGTCTTCCTGATCTCTTAATACCACGTTTTAAAATCAATCTTTAAATGAACCACCATGTTCATTTGATCATTGCTGATACTTTCTCCCCCATGTATAAACCCTTCAGTGGAACTCTGGGGTTATATTAAATGTCCAAACTCTTTACATAATTTATAGGAACCTTTTTGGTATTATATGACCCCTGATACTCACTCTTACTTCATTTTTCAACACATCTCCCACCTCACATTGCTCTTTCTCCACACAAAATACTCCATCCACACTGAACTACTTGTGGCTTGGTAAACACACTGCACTATGCTGACTTATATGTTCTATGCTTTGATATACACCTGTTGTTCCCTCTATCTAAAATGCCCTCTCCCTACCATTTCAGTAGTCTTTCCAAAGGTCATCTTTATGCTCTTTCTTTACCAGGGACAGTTATCTTATTGAAAATGTCTTGCTAGCCTTACATTTGAGTATTTTATTTGCCCCTTAGAAGAGTGATGATAAGAAGTGGTTTTTTATTACTTTTTATTATGTTTTTAATTTTTAATTTCTGTAGTCACATATTAAGTGTATGTATTTATGGGATGCATAAGATGTTTTGATACAGGCATGCAATTTGAAATAATTGTATCATGGAAAACGGTATGGTATCCATCACCTCAAGCATTTATCCTTTGTGTCACAAACAATCCCATTACACTCTCTGAGTTATTTTAAAAGGGATAATTCAGTTATTGACCATAGTAACCCTGTTGTGCAATCAATAGTAGGTCTTCTTCATTCTTTTAAACATTTTTTTGTACCCAATAACTATCCCCACCTCTTCCCGAGGCCCCCACTATGCTTCCCAGCCTTTGATCACCATCCTTCTACTCTCTATGCCCATGAGTTCAATTGTTTTGATTTCTAGAACCCACAAATAAGTGAAAACATGTGATGTTTGTCTTTCTATACCTGACTTATTTCAATTAACATAATGATCTCCAGTTCCATCTATGTTGTTGCAAATGACAGCATCACATTCTTTTATGGCTAAATAATACTCTATTATGTATGTGTACTGTATTTTCTTTATCCCTTCATCTGTTAATGGACACTTAGGTTGCTTCCAAATCTTAGCTGTTATTAACAGTACAGCAACAAACACAGGAGTGCAGATATCTCTTCTATATATTGATTTCCTTTGTTTCGGTTATATACTCAGCAGTGGGATTGCTGGATCATATGGTAGCTCAATTTTTAGTTTTTTGAGGAAACTTCAAACTGTTCTCCATATTGGTTGTACTAATTTCCGTTCCCATCAACAGTGTACATGAAGCTGGCTTCATGTACACGAACATGAAAGAGGGTTCCCTTTTATCCACAACCTCACCAGCATTTGCTATTGCCTGTTTTTTGGATATAAGCTATTTTAAATGAGATGTGATAACATCTCATTGTAGTTTTTATTTGCATTTCTCTGATGATCAATGATGTTGAGCACCTTATTATATACTTGTGTTCAGCACGTTATTATATACTTGTGTGCCATTTGCTTTTCTTCTTTTGAGAAATTGTCCATTCCAATATTTTTCTCATATTTTAATCAGATTATTAGATTTTTTCCTATAGAGTTGTTTGGGCTCCTTATATATTCTGGTTATTAATCCCTTGTCAGATGGATAATTTGCAAGTATTCTTGCCCATTCTGTGGGTTGTCTCCTCACTTTGTTGAATGTATCCTTTGCTGTGCAGAAGCTTTTTAACTTGATGTGATCCCATTTGTCCATTTTTGCATTGCTTGCCTGTGCTTGTGGGGCATTACTGAATAAATCATTGCCCAGACCAATGTCCTGGAGACTTTCAACAATGTATCCTTGTAGTAGTTTCCTAGTTTGAGGTCTTAGTTTTAGTCTTTAATCCATTTTGATTTGATTTTTTGTATACAGCAAAATGTAGAGGCCCAGTTTTATTCTTTTATATTTGGATATCCAGTTTTCCCAGCAGCATTTATTGAAGACACTGTCTTTTCCCCAGTGTATATTCTTGGCAACTTTGTTGAACCTGAGTTCACTGTAGATGTATGGTTTGTTTCTTGGTTCTCTATTCTGTTCCATTGCTCTACATGTCTGTTTGTATGCCAGTACCATGCTCTTTTGATAACTATAACTATAATAGTATTTGAAGTCAGGCAATGTGATTCCTCCAGTTTTGTTCACTTTGCTTAGGATAGCTTTGGCTATTCTGGGTCTTCTTTGGTTCCAAAGAAGTTTTAAGATTGTTTTATTTTATTTCTATGAAGACTGTCATTGGTATATTGTTAGGAATTACATTGAATCTGTAGATTGCTTTGAGTAGTGTGGACATTTTAACAATATTGATTTTTTTTTTTTTTTTTTTTTTTTTTTTTGAGACGGAGTCTCCCTCTGTCGCCCAGGCTGGAGTGCAGTGGCGCCATCTCGGCTCACTGCAAGCTCCGCCTCCTGGGTTCACTCCATTCTCCTGCCTCAGTCTCCCGCGTAGCTGGGACTACAGGCACCTGCCACCACGCCCGGCTAATTTTTTTGTATTTTTAGTAGAGACGGGGTTTCACCATGTTTGCTAGGATGGTCTCGATCTCCTGACTTCATGATCCACCCACCTCGGCCTCCCAAAGTGCTGGGATTACAGGCATGAGCCACCGCACCCAGCCTTGATTTTTCCCATCTATGAACATGGAATATCTTTCCAACTTTTTGTATTCTTTTCAATTTCTTTCATCAGCATTTTATAGTTTTCATTATAGAAATATTTCATTTCTTAGGTTAAGTTAATTCCTAGGTATGTATTTTATCTGTAGCTATTGTAAATGGGATTACTTTTTAAATTTCCTTTTCACATTGCTCACTGTTGGAATGTAGAAGTGCTACTGGATTTTGTATATTGATTTTATATACTGTAACCTTACTGAATCTGTTTATCAGTTCTAATTGTTTTCTTGTAAAGTATAAATGTTTTTTCAAACATAAAATCATATAATCTACAAACAAGGATAATTTGAATGCTTCCTTTCTAATTTAGATATCCTTTATATCTTTCCCTTGACTGATTGCTGTAGCTAGGGTTTCCAGTACTATGTTGAATAACAGTGATGGCAGTGGACATCCCTGTCATGTTCCAGATCTTAGAGGAAAGGCTTTCAGTTTTTCTCTATTCAGTAGGATACTACCTGTGTGTTTGTCACATATAGTTTTTATTATGTTTAGGTATGTTCCTTTTATACCCAGTTTGTGTGTGTGTGTGTGTGTGTGTGTGTGTGTGTGTGTGTGTGTGTTTATCATGAAGTGATGTTAAAGTTTTACAAATACTTTGTTAGTATTAATTGAAATGTTCATATGGTTTTTATCCTTCATTCTGTTGATATGGTGTATCACATTGTATGATTTGCGTATGTTGAACCATCCTTGCATCCCAGAAAAAAAACTCCTATTTTGTCATGATCAATATTTCTAATATACTGTTGAATTCAGTTTGCATTCCCATGTATTTTCTGGGCATTCTCAGAAAACCAGAGCAGCTCTGACATCAGGACCTAACCCTGCTTCTTTATTTTTCTAAACTTTGCTTACATTTAGGCAATGTATTGACAGCTTGATATGGTTTGGCTGTGTCCCTACCCAAATCTCATCTTGAATTGTAGCTCCCAAAATTACCACATGTTGCAGGAGGGACCCGGTGGAAGACAATTGAAACATGGGGGCAGTTTCCCCTATACTGTTCTCATGGTAGTGAATAAGTCTCACAAGATCTGATGATTTTATAAAAGGTTTCCTCTTTCACTAGGCTTTCATTGTGTCTTGTCTGCCACCATGTTAAGATGTGCCTTCCACCTTCTGCCATGATTGTGAGGCCTCCCCAGCCATGTATAACTGTGAGTACATTAAACCTCTTTTTATTTATAAATTACCCTGTCTCAGGTATGTCTTCATCAGTAGCATGGAAATAAACTAATACATAACTCTAAATTTTAGTGTGTCAATTGTAAAATTTGGATAATAATTAAACTTTAACCATAGGGTCATCATAAAGACATAATAAGTTCATATATACTTAAGGCTTAACACTGAGCCTGGTAAATTGTAGACACTCTGTAAACATTGGCTATATACATAATTATTTCATAGTGCTTTAAATAGAACAACTATTTTCTTTTGTTTAGTCTTGTATAACCAGGCCAGACTCAATCCTCCTTCATCATAAATTCTCACTTAGAAACCTGGCTTTGTGGTTATGCCTGGATGTGGTTCAGACAAACCTAACTACAACCTACCACCTTTAGAAATGTCTGTAGTATCTTAACCAATCCTGTTCCATGTGCCAAAGATTGTAAATGTGTATCTCTAGCCTGGACCTCTCTACTGAGTGTCAGATACCTAGTTCTAACTGCCTACTTGATATATCCATCTCATATCTATAACAGGTATCTCAAATTTCTTAAGATAGCAAAAGAAAACTCTTTATTTCTATCAACCCATGAGTCTGTTTCTACCCTCTACTCCTTCACCATGCATCATGGATTGACTACCTTAGGTTTTAGAATATTTATGTTGGGATTGTCTTAGTTTATTTGTGTTGCTATAAAGGAATATCTGAGGGTGGGTAATTTATTTTAAGAAGAGGTTTATTTCACTTAAAGTTCAGCAGGCTGCTCCTGAAGCATGGTGCTGGCATCTGTTTGGCTTCATGTGAGGACTTCAGGCTACTTCCACTCATGGCAGAAGAGGAAAGAGAGCCAGCTTTTGCAGAGATCACATGGTAAGAGAGGAAGCAAGACACAGCAGAGATCGTACCAGGCTTTTTTGTTTGTTTGTTCGGCTCTCACAGAAACAAATAGAGCAAGAACTCAGTCACCTCCAGTCCAGGCAGAGCATTCATCTATTCATGAGAGATCTGCTTCTATGTCCCAAACATCTCCCATTAGGCCACATCTCCAACATTGGGGATCAAATTTCGACAAGAGGTTTGGAGGAATCAAATATTTAAACTATAGCAGGGATGTTATATCACAGCTCTGGTTTTTAATGACATATCAACTTAAAAATGTCTTTTTTATGTAGGTTGCTTTGAGTCACATTGTGCTAATCTCATACTAAGACTAAATTGAATTATCAAATTTCATGGAAAAGTAAGTATACTGTTTTATTTGTAGTTCACTTGAAATTTTGATTGTCTATCCAACAGTCCTACCTGCCTTCATTTGTGTTAGTAAAGCCCAACTTTTCCTCAGTTATTTTCCCTCATGAAAGGGAATCTTATCTCTAGCTACGGGATAATTCCTGATTAGTGAAAAAACCATCAATTTATGACTTGGGGGTAGGTGTGAAACCCATTTATGGTTAATGAGACATGAGGGAAGCTCAGCTAGGGACTTTCAGAGGAAATCTTCCTTGCTCCTAAAAATAAACACATACAGGGAAAGCCGTTCTGCAGGAAATTGTTGAGTTTACATGTGATGCTTGGCTTTACAGCAGCCATCATATAAGCATAGGGAAAAATAACCTGAGAAAAGGTCCCCGTTGTGAGTATGGCAAAGCAAAACAATGGAAAGAACTTTCTTCCTAGACAACGTGCTGTAAGAGATGACATCTTTGTTGGTTGAGTCATTCTGAGTTGAATTTTCTGTTACTTGTAACTGAGAGCATACTAATTCTTATACTAGGATTAGCTAACAGTGAAAAACACAGCACAAGATAATTCTGAGGGGACTAATGTTGGCATCTTGGAAAACATGCACAAAGTGACCCTTGCCCATTTTCACAAAGACAAGGCCCCACATGCAGTTGCCTGGACTGATGCAGATTTGGCTTCTTCCATGAATTGATAACTGTAGACTCATGGTCACATAGTATTCAGTTCTCTACAATCAGATGGTACTTTGTATAGCAGCTTTGGAAAAAAGATGTAAAGTTCAGCAAGAATCATTTAAAAATATGCTCAGGATGGAACTGAAAATAATGCTTACCTGTAATTTTGATTTCTGAAAAATGAAGACAGGCCACTGGGTTTATTGCTTCTTACTTTACATTAATAGGTATGTGCAGGTGATTAGTTTCCTAGAGATGCTGTAACAAATAACCACAAAATTAGTGGCTTAAATCAAAGAAATTTATATTCTCAATGTTCTAGAGACCAGAAGTATGAAATCATTCTTAGTGAGCACAAATTAAGATGTCAGCAGGGCTGTACTTTCTCCAGAAGCTCTAAAAAAGAATATGTTTCTTGTTTCTTCCAGCTTCTTATGGCCTCCAGTGTTTCTTGGGTTGTGGTTACCGCTCCATTCTCTGTGTCCATGGTTACATTGCCTTTTGCTTTTCTCTCTGGGACAAATCTCCCTCTGCCTCTGTAACTAGGACACATGTGATTGCATTTTAGGACACACCTACATAATACAGGATAATATCCTTAATCACAGTGAAAATAATTTTTCCAAATAAAGTAATATTTCTTCCAATACAAGTTACCAAGCCTAGGGTCTACCAAAGCAGGTAACTGTACTTCTTTTTCTTGACTCCTTTTTTAAGTGATTCATTATTTGATTCATTTTTCTCCAAAATCTTCTCAAGCATAAAGTTCACCTAGCTGTATATGTGCCAGGCAATATTGTTTAGCAGATATCTACATGTATCTTGTAAAAAGAAAGCTTGCAGAAAAGGTAGCAACTCCTTGCGTGGGACCAGCATTTTTAAGGAGAATTATGTAATGGAAATAGCATTAAAATAGGCTTGAAAGACCTGGGTTTTTATAGAATACTTGACAACCTTCCCATTTTCTTGAGATCTGTAAATTTCGTGCATGTTAACTTGAAAATGTCCCCTCAATTCTTTTAACCTAAGGGTTTTTTTCTGTAAAAGAAACTGATTTCCAAATATAATTTCAGCTTCAATATTCTAAGATTCCATTCACGAAGACCTTATTTTTCTCAGCTATTGCAGGAGATTCATCTTCCTATTTTTCTTACCAAGTACATATGTTTCTGTGCTCCTTTCTATATTGTGCTTCGTAAGTGTGAGGATCAAAATGAGCTCATTATATAGCATTGGATCCACAAGCCAAGACATTACTAACACTGATCAGGAGTACTGTCATATGAGGGACCCAGAAAAACAAGCCTAGAACCCCTTATAAGAGGCACTTTTACAATCCAGGGCAAGACAGATTTCCCTGAATAAACAACCCTTTCTGACTGAGAAGTCACAGAATCTAATTACATATTTTAAAGGAAAAATACTGCCAATTAAATCTCAAACCTCCATGTACAAGATATGCACCAAAATAGATAAGATAGGGATTGAGAATTAGTGAAGTGAACTGAGAGGTAGAACTGAAAAACCATCCAGAATCTAGAGAAATTTTTTAAAATAGAACTTAGGATTGCAAAATGTGAGGAAGAAGCACCATGAACAAAGTTAAAAAACCATAACTTGGAAGAGGATACCTCCAATACATACAACCAACAAAGGTTAGCTGGTGGTGTTTACTGATATAGAGGGTGCATGGTGGAGGAGTACAGAGTAGAAGCAGATTCACAGGTTGGTAGAAGTAAAGAGTTAGCTTTTGTTATCTCAAGAAATATATAGCAAATGAAGATATCAAGTAGGCAGCTAGAGCTAGATATCTGACATTCAAGAGAGAGGTCCAGGATAGAGATATACATTTTTAGTCTTTGGTACATGGAACAGGATGGGTTGAGGTAGATACAGGCATTTTAAAGGACTCAGACCCCAGGTGGTGGGCTGTAGTTTGGTTTGCCTGAACCAAAGCCAGTTTGTGAACACAGACCAAGGTTCCTAAGTAAGGATATACTGTAAAGGAAGATTGAATCTGGCCTGGTTACACAAGACTAACTAAATGAAATAAGTGATTCTAAAACACCATGCAATAATTGTGTATGCAGCCAGTGTTTGTGTAGTGTTTGCAATTTAGTGTGCTCAATGTTAAGTATGTATTGATTCATTATGTCTTTAAGATGACTTTATGGTTAAGTTTTCTTTATTATCTAAATTTTACAATTGAAGATACTGACATTTAAAGCTGTCAATATCTTGCCTAAATTCACACAGAGTGAAGAAACAGGGCTAGAGCTTGATGTCAGAGCAGCTCTGGTTTTCTGGAAGTGCCATGGTGTCATGTTTGTTCATGTGAACAAGAGAAAAGAAGCTGTTTGTTAACTGGTAGCTCTCCCTCAGTAAATATTTACACTTCAGCATTCAAAGAATGTTGCTGTGGGACTCTTGCCCTAAACTAATCACAGCTCAGAGGGAGGGACCATACACTTATGTTTGGTGTTGGGAACTTGGAGCTAGCAAGATTTTAGTATTAATATGAATGTGACCTTATTCATACCTAAAGGAAGGTAAAACTTGGGGACATTTTGAGTCATGTTTTAAGAATATAATTAAATTCATTTTTACTGAACAGAGAGCTGCATCTGCAAATCAAAAGGGCTTACCATGGATGAGGTATCATTAATAAGAAAAACTTACATCTACAATACATTAGGTCAAATTTCTGATTTTTGAAGATAAATAATCCTATAGGCATATAAGTAGAAAATTAGGTTATCAAAAATTCAAAAAAATTAGCTGGGCGTGGTGGTGGGAGCCTGCAGTCCCAGCTACTCGGGAGGCTGAGGCAGGAGAATACTGTGAACCTGGGAGGTGGAGCTTCCAGTGAGCCAAGATCGCGCCACTGTGCTCCAGCCTGGGCGACAGAGTGAGACTCCGTCTCAAAAAAAAAAAAAAAGAAAATTAGGTTATCTACAGATGGAAAAAAGGCTGGATGGCCTTATATCTGCTTATTAAAAAGCATATTTGAAAAAATAAACTGGCCAGCTGAGACATGATTAAAACATATATTTAAATAAAAATTAATATGTAAATTTGCTTCTAAAACAATGCAAATATAATTCTTGAAAAAGACAATACATAATGAAAAAATAATGTAATAATATGAAACTGGGACACAATTTCCAGATCACAAGCAACAAAAACTGGGAAGTGTGAGAAGTCGGGTAGGGGGATGGTGCAAAGATGAATGTGCTAATTTTGTCAACTTAGCTAGGGGAAATCATTAGAAATGGCTATTATTAATGTTTATAATTAAAAATGAAGGTTTAAATATTATTTCAAAAGCTAAAATAACAACTAGTAAAACTAAAAGCTTACTACCTACCTTCTAAATTAATTGTGGGTGGGATAGGGAGACAACAATAAGGAAAACATACCATAAAATTAAAAGATTAAGAACAAAAGGATAAGCAAGAAAGTACAAAAAAACCAGAAAATATTGATAATAAGTATGTGATCTTATTCATATTAGATACATTCACAAATTAAAATAACAGTTTATCAGACTAGGTCAGGATATAAAGCCCAACTATATGCTATCTACAATAGCATACTCCAATAAAATTACTCGTGAAAATTAACAGTAAATAGTTGGACACCATGGCCAGCCGTGGTGGCTCATGACTATAATCCCAGCACCGTGGGAGGCCGAGGCAGGCATATCACCTGAGGTCGGGAGTTCAAGACCAGCCTGGCCAACATGGAGAAACCACGTCTCTACTAAAAATACAAAATTAGCCTGGCGTGGTGGCACATGCCTGTAATCCCAGCTACTCGGGAGGCTGAGGCAGGAGAATCACTTGAACCTGGGAGGCAGAGGTTGTGGTGAGCCAAGATCAGGCCATTGCACTCCAGCCTCGGCAAAAATTGCGAAACTCTGTCTCAAAAAAAAAACAGTAATTTAGATTAAAAGAAGCATTCACTATATTGATGATATGACAGATTCATATGACAAGTAGAAATCATCCTTTATTCTCAAATAACCATATAATCTTAACAAAAGTTGATCATTTATTAAGCCACAAGGAAACCAATATTACAAATAGGAGTAGTATAGACTACATTCTTTGTCAACACTGCCATAAAATATGAATTGAATCACAAAAGTTGTAAATGCATTGCTAAGGCAATGATAAGACAATAAGAAAATAAAAACTCAAATGCATAGCGTTCATAAAGTAATATTGTTGAGATCAATACATACAAGATTTTATAGTTTGAGGCCAAAACTCTATCAGGAGCTGTGTCACAAAAGTTCTCCAAAGATGTTTCACATCAGAAGCTCTACTATCATATCTCAAGAGCCTAATAAAAATTTACTTTTTCCTTTGGCACTTTCTGCTTAAGTACCACCAAATGTAAAAATGACCCCATGCCAGTTCTTGCCTGACTGTTTGTTGCTGCAAATGCTGTTCTTGGTACAGGTGCCACTGATGCTACCACAATTGATGCTGTAGGTACTACTAAGTGTTGCTGAATATGGTGGCTGGCAGGAAGCAGAGATTTCCTCTGGCTCTCGTCATTAGCCACAGTCTAAGGGATGCTCTGTTGTTCGTTGATTTTTTTTTTTTTTTTTTTTTTTTTTGCTAATGTGAATAGCTGCTGCATTGAGAGACAGGTTAATCTATGATATGGATATATTAGCCCCCTTACCTGTTTATTTTCTACACTGCTGTCTGGATAATCTCAATCTGAGAATGTCACCTCCCACTTTCACATTGTTTCTTAGTCTCACTCCACAGAATTGTATTCTTTTTGTGTTTATAGAATTGTATTTATAGAATAAAATCAGGATCCCTTAAGAATACAAGGCTCAACATGTTACAGTGTTTTGCATGCTTCTCTCTGTTCCTCCACTTGTCACCACCTCCCCTTGCAAAACTCCGTTCTCTAGCTCTGCCAAAATACTTGTTTTTACCTCTACTTGGAATGATTGATGCTTTAATTATTGTGCAGGAATGATCATGTTAAGTTACAAAAAATCTGCAAAAATATTTATCAAGGTTATGAAGAAGAGTTAAAATCACAATGTAGAGGGACTGTC
The DNA here is from genome assembly GCF_000001405.40 of Homo sapiens. Taxonomy (NCBI): domain Eukaryota; kingdom Metazoa; phylum Chordata; class Mammalia; order Primates; family Hominidae; genus Homo; species Homo sapiens. Next base: position 145,109,143 of record NC_000023.11, on the reverse strand, counting down.
CACAATTAATGGGAAACACAAAAGAAAATACAGTAGAATAATAGACCGAAAAACATGAAAAAGATGATTAACGGATTGAACAGCAAATCATTGATAATCAGCTAGGGTATAAGGAAACATAATTTCATGAGTAGTCAAGTAAATGCAAATTAAAATATCATGTTTCACTGTATTTCAAGTAATGATTTAAAAATTCATGCCAGTAAAATGTCTTGTTCTAGCGAAGTCAGTTTATTTTCTAACAGACCAAAGAGAAGTGTCTTGAAAAAGGAGCACTTTTTCCTACTTTTAACCAAAGCATATTTGCTGTGGCTGCCCTCTGCATAGTACTTTCTGTATGCCAGGTAATATTCTAAGAACTTTACATGTGTGCATTCCTTTAATCTTCATAGCACATCCTTTGAGGCAAGTATCACAATTTTCTGCATTTTACACATGAAGAGACTGAAGCCCAGAGGGATGAAGTAACTTTCAAAAGATCAAACAACTAGTAGGGTGGAGCCAAGTCAGCCTCTAATAGTATGACTGTAATGTCTTCCCTTTTAACCACTGTGTATACCGCCTCAAATATGTTTGTATTAATAGTTTTGAGGGAGTATATGTATGCATTTTCATTATATCTGGTTTTTTTGTTTGTTTGTTTGTTTTTTGAGACGGAGTCTCGCTCTGTCCCGCAGGCTGGGGTGCAGTGGCGCGATCTCAGCTCACTGCAAACTCCGCCTCCCGGGTTCACGCCATTCTCCTGCCTCAGCCTCCCGAGTAGCTGGGACTACAGGCGCCCGCTACCATGCCCGGCTAATTTTTTGTGTTTTTAGTAGAGACGGGGTTTCACCGTGTTAGCCAGGATGGTCTCCATCTCCTGACCTGGTGATCCACCCGCCTCGGCCTCCCAAAGTGCTGGGATTACAGGCGTGAGCCACCGCACCTGGCCGCATTTTCATTATATCTGATGTATACAGACAAATTATAGCCATTGCTACTGTTTATTAAACATATATTGTATATCAAACATTGGAATATATATTTAATAACAATCATATGGGGTAGATATTGTTAACCTCATGATGCAGTTGAGAAAAACGAAGCCTAAGGAGTTCATATAACATGCCTATTGTCATTTATATAGCAAGTGCCAAGCTAGGATTTGAATCAGGTGTGTTATACTCCAAGACGTCATGCTTTTGCCTTCTGTGTAACACTAGTGCACAAATATTAAAATATATGCAGATATTTATAAGTCAGATCACATCGCTTCCCTAATCAAGCCTTCTGCTGGGTTTCTACCATAATTGAAATGAAACCAAAACTCATTACTATGGCATAAGGAGCTCTCCATGTCCTGACCCCAGCTTACCTTTCCATCCTCATTTACTGCTCTTCTTCTCCTTCCTGCACTCCACCCACATGTGCCTCTTTGATCTTCCCTAAACACACTTGGTGCTCATCCACCTTAGTGACAATATATGTGCCTTTCTTTTTGTCTCAATTGCTCTTGCCCCAGACATTTGCATGGTTCACTTATTCACTTCTTCAGGGATCTACTCCACTCTTTTTATTTTATTTTATTTTATTATACTTTAAGTTTTAGGGTACATGTGCACATTGTGCAGGTTAGTTACATACGTATACATGTGCAATGCTGGTGCGCTGCACCCACTAACTCGTCATCTAGCATTAGGTATATCTCGCAATGCTATCCCTCCCTCCTCCCCCCACCCCACAACAGTCCCCAGAGTGTGATGTTCCCCTTCCTGTGTCCATGTGATCTCATTGTTCAATTCCCACCTATGAGTGAGAATATGCGGTGTTTGGTTTTTTGTTCTTGCGATAGTTTACTGAGAATGATGGTTTCCAATTTCATCCATGTCCCTACAAAGGACATGAATTCATCATTTTTTATGGCTGCATAGTATTCCATGGTGTATATGTGCCACATTTTCTTAATCCAGTCTGTCATTGTTGGACATTTGGGTTGGTTCCAAGTCTTTGCTATTTACCTAATTAGAAAGACCTTCTCAGACCACCATGTCTAGAATTGTGACCCTTAGTACTCTGCACCCATATTTATCTTTCTTGATAGTCTGTATCGCTACCAGACATTAACCATATAAACCTACCTGTTTACTGTCTATATTCCTTTTCAGACTGTAAGTCCTGGGAGGCCAAGACGTTCCTTTGTTCATTATTGTCCCTTAGAGCATAGATAAGGAGTTGGTGCTTGTTGTTGTTTTTTTTTTGTTTGTTTGTTTTGTCAAGAGCAAGATATTTAATGTTTTAGACTTTGCAATCCATACAATCTTCCGTACAATTACTTAACTCCGCTATTGTAGCATGAAATCTACCACAGACAATATGTAAATCAGTAAGTGTGAAAATGAAAGGGCTGTGTTTAAATAAAACACTATTTACAAAAACAGACAGTATGCCATAGAGGCTAGTTTTGGCATATGGGCCATAGTCTGTCAACTCCTGGTCTAGGGCATCACCTGGTTAGCACTCAAGAATATTTGTTGAATTAATGAATTTATATGTCTACCTAATACACACGTTTACATACACACACATCTGTATTTACACATATGTGCATGTGAGTCTGTGTATGTGTACACAGAAAGGATACTGAAAGGAATCAAATCAATATATCTTAGTAGATATCTCTGGTGGCAGGATTATGGCTTTTTAAATTTCTCCTACATATTTTCTGTAGTCTTTAAATTTTTAATAAACATGCATTACTTTTGCTTCTTAATGTTTTTCTTAACATATGCTATAAATACAGAAAAAATATACAGTTCATAATTGTGAATCTTAGAGAAGTATTATAAGTGAAACATACTTATGTAATTATCATTTCTTTTAAGTACTTTTGAGTCTTTAGGACAGTGTTCCCATTTTATTTTGAAATGATCTGTTTCTAAAATCAAGATGAGCCGTTTAGTTTTCTTGTAGGTATAGATCCTATGTATGGGAGTCAGAGCACATATCACAGTGGAGATAATAAGCTCTTTTTATTCTTTTTTGAGATGTGGTATTCTCCCATTTCCCAAAGTAAAACATGGAAAGGACAAGCATTTTTTTTCCTTCTCATCCTACTCCAACTCAGTTGAAAATTCCTTACAGATACTCATAATAGTGTCAGTCTTAGGTTTTAGAGCAGTTCATTTTTAACTTTTTGTATTTTTTCCTTGTTACTTTACTGGCTGACCGGGAGAAGCTGCCTCTTGATTTGTTTGCCAGATATCATTTTGAACTGAAAATAGCCTAGATTTCTTGACTTTTTATTTTAAATATCTCCTGTCACCCTTTCTTTGGAAATACGCCTTTTCTAGCAAAATAGGTGCTAATAGCCTCCAAATTAGCTTTCTAGCCCCTCACTACACAGCAATGAACTGAAAAAAATAAAGATGCTCTCAGAGGGAATTTTATGTCCTTAGATACTTACTTATCAAAGAGAAATAATGCAAGCAAATCATTTAACTCAAGAAGCTAAAAAAAGCAAGATAAACCTAGAGAAGGTGAAAAGATATGAAATGCTAAATGCATTAATATTATATCAAAATATGCATTAGATTGGTTGAATTAATTTGAGCTGCTATTTTTGACCAAAAAAACCGGCTATAAATGCTCTAGTAGCCCTAATTCAAAAAAGGAATGAAAACAGCTCCAGGAATAAAAATTAATAAGATGTTAGGTCTCTCCAAATTAAACATAAATTTTATGTAATTCCAATTAAAACTCCAAAAGCATTTTAAAAACTTGATGAAATTATTTCAAGTTCTCCTAGAATACTATTTGTATGAAATTAACCAATAAAATCCTAAAATTGAATAGTAATAAATGATGACTTCTATTAACAGATATTTAAAAATAGCTTAGTAATAAAATCATCCTAAAGGTTTGGTGCAATGATAGAAAAGACAGAGAAAACACCTCAAAGGAGTAATAAATACAGAAAGAGCCAAGTTTGTATGATGATTTCATTTAAATGAAGGTGGTATTTTATAATGTTGTGATGGATTATTTAACAAATTATGTTGGAACAACAAACACTTCATTAAAACTAGCTACATTAAGCCATAGCTAGCAAATTCCAGTGCTTTCAGGAGCCAGACAGATAAGATGTACAATTAAATTATTGAATCAAAAAGGATGTTCTAATCCATTTAGCATGCTATACCAAGGCATCATAGACTGGGTAGCTTATAGACAACAGATTTATTTCTCACAGTTCTTGAGGCTGGGAAGACCAAGATCAGGGTGCCAGGATGGTCAGGTTCTGGTGAAGCCTCTCTTCTGGATTGCAGACTGCTGACTCATGTGGTGGAATGAGAGAAAGAAAGCAATCTCTCTCATGAAGCTTATAAGGGAATTAATCTCATTCCTTAGGGCTCCACGGTCATAACCTAATCTAATACTAATTACCCTCCTAAGTCCCCACCTTATATTATCACATTGGAAGGTATAGATTAAACATATGAGTTTTGGAGGGACACGAACATTCAGTCTATAGTAAGGAATAAACAAAATATATTTAAAAGGAAAGGAAGTCTAAACCAAGCTGCTTATATGTGAGGAAGATGAACGTATATTCATGGGAAATATGCAAATATAAATCACTTAAGTATGCAAAACAGTGATCTCCAATAAAAGAATGTTCCCAGCAACTGCCTCTCACTATAAAATTAGTAAGAACATGAATCCAGCAAATCAGATACTTAAAGCAAGATGACAAAACATCAGAATGATTTAAACAGGGAGGTTGAAGAGGTAAAGGGACACATTGAGGAAAAAAATATGCATATATAAAATCAAAGAGCAGAATAACCGTAGCTGAAAATTAAATTATTATCCAAGCATAAAAGCAAATTAATTATTGATCATCAATCATCATCAGTTTTTTCTCTGTTGGGCAAAATCCAACATAATACAAATAGTTTGTATTAACATTCATCAAACACAAACAAATCCAAAAATTCTTCATTGATCTCTCCCAACTAGTTCAAACATTGTTGAAACCCTTCTCTTTTGTTTCTTCTAGAACACATGTCTGTCAGACTTTTGATTCCGCCACTCAACCAAAACAACTCTTGTGAAGTTCACCAATGACTTTTGCAGTTTCTTTCTACTTCCAACATTCTCCCTATACTCGATTGCTATATCCCCCTTATTTCTTTTCTTGAAGCTGTGCTAAGTATCTCAAATTTAACATGTTCAAAACAAAATTCACTAGTCTCTAAACCTGGACTGTCCTCACTGTTTTTCTTCTTCGTAAGTGGAACCATCCTATTCATCCACTTATCAGGGCCCCGAAACTTAGGACTGTCCTTGAGAATCTATCTCACAGTCTACATGCAACATATCATTAAATCTATAAGCTCGAATGTAAAAGGATATCCCAAATCTCCAGCTTTATACAATTCTTTCCTTTTCTTAAAAAAAAAAAATCATTATTTGGAGGTAGTTGCAGATTTATAGGCAATGGTAATAAATAATGCTGGGAGACCTTGTTAACTCTTAATTCAGTTTTTCCTAATGGTAATATCTTGCATAGGTATAATACAATACCACAACCAGGAAATCAACTTTGGTAAAATCTAGTAACTTTATTCAGATTTCACCAGCTTTACATACATTCCTATGTGTGGTTTTGTGTATATTTAATTCTGTGAAATCTCATCACATGTGCATTCATGTAACCACCACCACAGTTGATCCAGCAATCCCACTCCTGGGTGTATATCCTTTACCATTATTAATCTTGAATTATTCTAGCCCAATCACACTTGTTATCTGCTGTTTCTGGGACACATCAGACAAGCTTCCACCTTAGGGCCTTTGTATTGTCTGTTCTCTGTGTCTGAAATGCTTCCCCACCTCTTTCCCACACCCCAAGCCCCAAATCTGCACCTTCCTCAAGTCTCTTTTGAAATATCACCTTCTCAGGCCATCCTATGTAAATAGGGATCACTCGCCATTTTTCCATACCCCCTTAATCTGTTTCTTTTTTATAGCACTTATCACCATGGGAAATACAATTACTGTCTTTCTCCATTAAGAAGTGAATTAAAACAATGCAGAGGTTTCATTTTATTAAACTGTAATCTTACATCTAGTATATCTTGTATGTTAATTTTCATATTTATTTCTGAGTAGATGAACATATCAGATGGAAATTTTTGACAGTTGTTCTTCAATTTTTTTTTACATTATGAAAACCATTTACTTGATGAAGGAACATTTCCTTATACTAAAATACTGTTTTTAGTGTCTTGAAAATAGTTTATCATGCAACCAATTTAAATTAAAAGGTAAAAAAAGTTATAGTTAAAATTTTTGCCTAAGAAATGAAGTGAGTTTTGCACTTAATATGCAAGGCTATTCATTGACAGCTGAAACTCACACATGTTTTCCTCAATTATATCTTTCATTTGATTTATTTCCTTACAGAATTGGCAATTATTTCATATGATATGTTAAACACTAGTACTTGTGAACATGTGTTTTCTCCCTGATCATATAAATTGCGCAGAACTAAAAAGACACACAAAAACACACACGAATGCATATAAAAGTGGTGAAATTTGAATAAGGTCATTGGATTTTACCAATGTTGATTTCCTGGTTGTGATATTGTACTATAGTTTTGCAAGATGTTACTATAATATTTTTTCATTTAAGTGATGTTTACTCTAGGTTTTTGGCATGTAATTTTTACAAAGTTAGGGAGGTTTCTACAATTTCACACATTGTTAAGAATTTTGTTTTTATCAGCTCGGCTCTCAGGAAGCCACATCCCTAGGAAAAGGAGGAGAGCACTACATCAAGGAAACATCCCGTGGGACAAAGGAATCTGAAAAACAGCCCTGAATCCTAGACCTTCCCTCTGACAGAGCCTACACAAATGAGAAGGAACCAGAAAAACGACTCTGGTAATATGACAAAACAAGGTTTTTTAACACCCCTAAAAAAATCACACTAGCTCACCAGCAATGGATCCAAACCTAGAAGAAATCCCTCATTTACCTGAACAAGAGTTCAGAAGGCTAGTTAATAAGCTAATCAGGGAGGCACCAGAGAAAGGCAAAGCCCAGTGTAAGGAAATAAAAAAAAATGATACAAGAAGTGAAGGGAGAAATATTCAGTGAAATAGATAACATAAATAACAAATGAAAACTTCAGGAAACAATGGACACACTTATAGAAATGCAAAATGCTCTGCAAAGCCTCAGCAATAGAATCGAACAATCAAAAGAAAGAACTTCAGTGCTCGAAGACAAGGTTGTCAAATTAACCCAATCCAACAAAGACAAAGAAAAAAGAATAAGAAAATACGAACAAAGCCTTCAAGAAGTCTGGGATTATGTTAAACAACCAAACCTAAGAATAATTGGCACACTTGTGGAAGAAGAGATATCATCGATACGTTTTCAACCTATTTGCACAGACATCAACATATGACTTTTTTCTTCAGTCTATTGATATTTTAAATCGTAGTTATTTGTTATATTAATATATAATTATATTCCCAGGTAAAAATCCTACTTATTAATCATGCATTGTACTCATCTTGCACTGTGGATTTTTTCAGCTCATATTTTATTTAGGATCTTTGCATCTGGATTCATGACTGAAAAGTATGTATATTTTTATTTTATTGTCATCTGGTTTTATAATCAACATTAGGGTTACCAGGTAAAGTTTTTTTGGCAGCTTTGACGTGATTTCTGTTCCCTAGAACATTATGCATATGATTAGAAGTAACGGTTGTTTTATCCTTCAGCATAATTCACCTGTAAAATTATCTCACTGTTAACATGGGCATTATGTTTTTAAGACACTTTATTTTTTACAGGAGTTCCAGGTTTACAGCAAAATCAAGCACAGGGTACAGAGATTTCCTGTATATATCCTGTTAGACATTATTATTATTATATTTTCCCTAGGGGGGGTTTTGACTACCATTTCAACTCATTTAAAGGATGTTCATCTACTTAATTTTTTATTTCCTCTTCCATCAATATTAGTGTTTTATGTTTTCTAATGATTTATACATTTCCTCTATGTTTCATATCATTTATTTTAAATGTGTATTTTTGTGCTTGTTTTCTCTTTTACATACTTATTTATCTATATTTTTTCACTTTTTGGTAGAAATCAGACTTGCTAAAACATCTGTCCTTTTAGTTAATGTTTTCAGAGAACCAGCTTTCTCTTCTATTAATATTCTCTAGCATTTGTATTTGTCTATCATTAATTTCTGCCTTTATCTTTATTATTTTAAAAATTGTCTTCATGTGAGTTTGCACTATTGCTCTTTTTTTCCAGTTACCTGGATCGAATGCTCAGTTGATTTTTTAAAAAATTTCTTTTTATTCAATTTGCAAAGTAATACATGCTTATTATTTAAAAAGACAATAATCATAGAAAATTTAAGTGACCCATAAGCTTACTGCCCATGAGTAAATATTGTTAATAATGTAATGTGTTTCCACCTTGTATGGGTAACATATATATAGTCATATATAAATATAATTATAAATTGAAATACGATGGTATAGTGAGGTATACTGTGCATATTGTTTTTTCTCAATTGGAGAAATATTTTCTCTCTCAACTTCTTATTTTGAAAAATTTCAAACCTACTGAAAAGCTTAAATAATAGTAGAACAAACATCACTTTCATGAAGCTTCACCAAGTACTAACATACATTTTTGAACATTTGACAGAGAGAGAGGGAGGGAGGGAGGGAGAAGAGAGAAGAAGAGGTTTTTAACTTTGCTGAACTAGTGAAAATTGTTTTGCCCCCAAAACTTCAAAATATATCTCATAAGAACAAGAACATTCTCCTACACAATAATGAAGCATGATCATGTTCATGTAAAACATTTAACATTGATACAATACTATTAACAAGTGCATGATTTGTATTCAAATTTCCCCGGTTGTCCCCCAAGTTTTCTCTGTAGCTCTTTTGTCTGTTGGTCCAGAATCCAAAGATCACAAGTTGTGCAAGGGCTGTCACATCTCTTTAGTATTTCTTATTATAGGACAGTTTCTACCTGTTTTGCCTTTCATGACACTGACATTTTTCTGAGTCCAGTCCAGTTGTACTGAAGACTGTCCACAATATGGATTTGTCTGATTTTTCCTCATGATGCGATACAGGTTAAGAATTACTGTCAAGAACATTACATAAATGATGTTGTATATTTTCCGTTGTGTTACATTACATTATGTCAGGAGGTGCCTAACACCAGTCTGTCACTTCATAATTCGCACTGACTAACCACTTGGTTTAAGTGGGAATTGTCGTATTTCCTCGTTTACTAAGGTAACATTTCCCCTTTGTAATTAATGTACAATCTGTGAAGTGTTACTTTGAAATTGCATTAATATATCCTTGCCCCTCAAAATATTTCACCTAATAATTTTAGCATCCACTGATATTATTTGCCAGAATTATACAGTTTTTTAAATAAAATTTTTATTGAAGTATAACAAAAATATACAAATCATAAAAATAGTTCTTACTCAATTTTCACATTGTATGAACCAACATGAACAGAATCCAGATTGAGAAATACTTTATCAGCATCACGAAGCTCCTCCATGCTCATCTCTAGCCCTGTGTACCCCGAAGGAAAACTCTATTGTAACTCTGTCGCTATGAGATTAGTTTTGAGCTATTAGGGGAGCTTTATTTGAATGAATCATGTCCTCTGTACTATTTTGTTTCTGGTTTCTTTCTCTCAGCATTGCTGGTGTGAATCATCTATACCACTGCACGTAACAATGGTTTATTCATTCTCATTGTCTTGTAATATTCCATTGCATTGATGTAGCACAATTTATTTAATCATATATAGTTCATGGACATTTGGGTTATTTCTAGCTTTTGGTTATTATGAATACTGCTGTTGTGAACAGCCTTGGCAATTGTGTGTAGGTCTCTTGGATCTATTCCTGGGAGTGGAATTCATATTTCATAAAGTATATGTATGTTTGGCTTTGTAGATACAACCAAAATCATTTTCTAAAGTATTAACAATTTACACGTCTACCAGGAATGTTTATGTCCCAATTGCACCTTATAAATACTTAGTATATTAATTCTTTCAAACTGTAAAAATTCATATATGTATGCCTAAAGTGCTATCTTATTATGGATTTCATTTCCATTTTTCTGATTACCGATTAGGTTGAGCACTTTTTCATATGTTTATTGGCCACCTGGATATCCTTTTTTTAAAAATGTGTTTTTTCCATTTTTCAACTGGGTTGTATATTTCTTATTTATTTGTGGGAATATATATACACACTCTTTATTACTTATATATTTGCAGATATTTTCTCCAAATGCACGGTTTGCCTTTTCACTCTCACATTTTTGCTTTGAATCTTTCTTCTTTTCATATGTGATATTCTTTTTAAGATGTATTTTGTTATTAAATATCTAATTTGATTGCGCAGGTTGGAGAATATGGTTTATGAGCTATTGATTCTTCTAAATGTGTGTAGGACGACTTTACAGCTTCATATATGGCATATTTTATTAATAATTCATGTGTGCTTAAAAATAATGTGCATCAACTATTCAATGTGTGTAGAGTTGTCTATATATCTAATAACCGAGACCCAATTATGTTTATATAAAAATGATGTTACATTTTTGTCATGCCATTTCTACTTTTAGGACACAGGAAGAATGAATTTCATCAGATCTCTGTGAAGTTGGCTTGGGTACATGTGAGTGACTTCAAGATGGTGATTTTTTTAAAGCAGAAAATATATAGGATATTTTTAATCCTGGCAATGAAACTTCCTATGCCATATTTCCTTTATTTCCTTTTTACTGGATAGGCCACTTTTGAGGTCATGTTTTTATATATATATGGTTGTCAGATACTATACAGGAGGCCCAGTTAAATTTGAATTTTAGATAAATAACAAATTTGTTTAGGAGAAGTATGGTCCAAATGTTGCATGGTATATACATTTTTAAAAAATCATTGTTTATCTGAAATTCAAATTTAACTGGCTGTCCTGTATTTTTATTTGCTAAGGTGAAGAAGCTGGACATGCACATGAAAAAGCAGAGAAGTAAAGCATATTAATGAAATATGTCTATAAATAGAACACTGCATGCAGTTACTGCCACATAGAACTGGCTAAAAACAAATAGGTCAGAAGCCTGCTACGTTTCTGAGAGAATTGCATTGCCCAGAAAGGAAAGCACAATTCTGGACAAAAAGTCTTTTGATAGTTCAAGATTCAAAAGAATCCTTCAACCTCCAACTGTGCAGAATTGACAAATTTGCTGAGAAGGTTGTGCAGTTTCAGCATATTCCCCAATATCTTCTTTAGGCATGGGCAGACAAAAAAGATAAACAAAATTATAAAAAGAACCTCTCAGAAGGTGGATCCAGATACCAAGAAGTCCTTCCAGAGAACAGAATTGGGCTGTATGCAAGTAATCTTTTTAGCCCCGAGATAAGAGCCCTTCACCGAGATAAGAGCCCTTCACCGTATTTTTCAGCAGTCTTCTAGAAGTTCTATTGACAATCGTTAACTTCTTTGTGTCTCCCATTTCACATTGTTTGAATGGGGCGGGGTTAATTGCAGCTCTTCTGCTCCAAATCCTGCCTCATCATTGTAAACTGGGTGTACAAGGAGCCATAGCAGAGAATTTGTCTTTTTAGTGCATAGGTCCTTGGAATCAGAGGAGCCACATCCTAGCCCTTGGGCCACATGCAATTATAGATTGATTTTCAGATTGTCTTCTATGGAAAGGGAATGAGTGTTTCCTATATGTAAACATAAAAATTAAAGTTTCATGATGAGAAGGCCAGACTGTGACAGAGTCAATATTATATGTTTATTGTACCATTTCTACTTCCTGGAATCAAAGAAAGAAGACTGTATTTCCTAGCCTTTTCTTCAGACATGTTGAGGGCTGAGTTTGGCCTACGGTACGTAGATATAAGTGATCTATATGTTATTAATCAGGGTATATAGTCAGGAAAACCACTGTAGATATATCAATCAGAGATTAAAAGCAATGAATTAGTTACAAAAGTGTTGAAAAGACTAAAAGAATAAAGGCGATAAGGAGAGGGTTTCCCACATTTCAAGAAGATGCTATTGCATGTGGTCTGGAACCTACAACCCATATTCCCCACTAACCTGGTGGAAGTGCCTACTGCTTAGCAGCAATTCAAGAGTCTGCCCTCCTATTCATGCTGCTGATATTGTTACTGATACTGCCTTTTGTAACAAATGCAATTGCATTTTTTATAACTTCACTATCTCTGTTTTTCTTTTTTTTCTTCCTGTTTGATCTTTCAGTGTTTCAGAAAGGATCTCTGCTTTTCTTTTCTTTTTCCTGCTTGATCTCTCAGTGTCTGAGAAAGGGTCTTTAAAAGTTCCATATATTTTTATATATAATTCTTTATAAAAAGGCCATAACTCTATGATGAAATAGTATTGTTAGGTCCATACATGTTCCTGATGGTCTTCTTGCTTAATTTTATCTTTTATCAATGTATTGTATCTTTCTGTATTTGTTGTGATTTTTTGGCTTGAATTATAATTTGTCATATATTAACATTTCTATCTTAGCTTTATATAATTCATATATGGCTGGCACATATATTTAACCACTTAAAAAATTTTCTATGTATCTATTTGCGTGAAAAAAAAAAGATCCTTTTTGCCCAGAAAGCTAATGGGAGACTTTGATCCTTTCACCAGGAAGTTTTCTAGTGCATCTGGGCTGTGTTTTAATCTGTTCTTATTTTTGTTTGACATATTAAGCTTGTTTCTTCTTTTTGAGAACAAGAATAGAAAAGTCCTTGGAAATATTGACAGTGTAACATGAAAAACATTCGTGTATAGCTTAGGATAACAAATAAAAGGTGTAATAATATTTTATCATTCCCACCTAGTAGTTAACATATTACGCATCTATTTAACATATTTAGGTTGGTGCAAAAGTAACTGCGGTTTTGCCATTTAATGTAATAGTCTTGAAAGTAATATATTTGTTAAATGGGCTTCAAGAGATTATTTGTATACTTGAGTTACTTTAATAATAATAATTATAGAGGCAAGTATTCACTGAGCACCATCAATATGCCAGATATAAAATGCATTATGAGAATTTACTTGCGTTCCTAATAACAACAAAAATAAACCTAATTGTGTAGATGAAGAAAGTTGAGTAACCACCTAAGGTCACACAGATCATAAGTAATAGAACTGGAATTCAAACCAAGGAATCTTAGGCTCTAGAACAGAGGTTTTCAAATTGGACATGACTGACATTTTAGGTGACAAAATTCTTTCATGAGGGTAGGGGTGTTCTGTGCATCATTGAATGTTGAGCAGCCTCCCTGGCCTCTGCCCACTAGATTCCAGTGGCATCTTCCTAGCTGGGGCAAACAAACATGTCACCAGACATTTCTTTCTTTTTTTTTTTTAATTAAAAACTTTTTAATTGGTTTACAAAGGAGGCTACAGACTACATTGAAACTAATCGTTGTACAAAAGGCCAAAAAAAAAAAAAGTCCCAAAACACCAAGAGACAAAAGGTAGGAGGAAAGACAAGAAAGGAAGATACAAAAGGAGCAGGAAGAAACTTACTTAGGGACAAGATTAGCATCATACATACCTAAGAGTGGGGGGTGAGGGGGAAGAGCAAGATGAGAGAGCATTTAAAAGCATTTACCCACACAACCCTGGTGATAATTGGATTGGAATCAACAACAAACACAGCATGAGATTATTAAGAGGTTTTAAAAGGCAACAGTGGTGTGGACTGGTTATTGCCAGTGTTAAGAGAGAAATAAACTTGAGTTTTTAGGCACCAGAGATTGGAGCACCACCTCTCCCTTCCAGAGGATGACAGACTTAGGAAGAGGAAGCAGGCCCTGAGGCAGCTGCCACTGGTGTGTGTAGATGTCTCCTCAGGTCAATCTCAGTGTATCTTCCCCAAAGTCTTTGTGCCCTAGATTCTAGGTAAGGGCTATGGGATTTCACTGGGAGAAAGGGATGATCAGAAATATGAAGACCTGCCCTTGTCCACAATGTTCCAGAGTAGTTACCGGGAAACTGCAGCACTGGGTAGACAGAGCCCATATCCCTGGGGAAAAGGCACAGTGTAATTCCTGAAGGCAAGATATGGGAAAGCACAACACATCCCAGGAGAGGTATCAACAAAATCCTCAGTACTTGCAGCCCTCGTCTAATCCCATTTGTTAGGCTTTTTTTTTTTTTTTTTTTTTTTTTTCTCTCTCTGATACTTAGCTAGGACTTAGGGCAGTTGACGGACAGATCATCATACCTCTACTCTCTTAGCAGAGACAAGGAAGACTGGGGCTGTTTGACAATGAGGAAGGGGAAAATGGGACAAAATACTCCTCTTTCAAATGTTCCTGGTGAGCAAAATCTCCCCCAGTTGAGAACTACTATTCTAGAATGTGCACCTTAGCCACGTGCTCTATGGTCTTGAGAGTAAACACTTTAAATAAGAGAGAATAGATATGAGATCTCTATGTACAATTGAATATTAATTGTCCTCAGTGACCCAGTCAGTTTTTAGCATTGTAGTTATTATAGGTGAATTCAGTCCTTCACTCATCAGTATTTGGTTGTCTGACATTTATTGGTTAACTTCATTGTTCCTAGCACTGGAATAGGAGCTAGGATTCTATGTAATGCATTGTTCCTGCAGGAAGTATAACCTTAGCCCAATGGTGGAATGCCTTTAACAGAGTCTTATAGCTTCAAGGTGATACATCATTTTATCTCAAGAAGTCATTTCTTTATTTAAATTTTCTCAGTCTAGGGTACTTTTAGTAAAAGATTAGGAAAGTCCATAGATAACAGGGCCTTTAGGTGGTTGGGGAAACATCTTCCCAGTCAAGCCTATAATAGAATATATTATTTTCCCAACTTAAAAGTATGCAAATCTATAAAGCCCTTCCCACTGCAAGCAAGCCCAGATAGTCCAAAGCGTTTGGAAGAGGTTCTGTATTCTCTGCATTACCCAACTTCTATGTAGCTGGCAGGGACAAGAGATCACATAAGGTTTCTGGAGTTGAAGCAGATACATAGTATCATAATTAGCACCATAATAAGAACTTTGTCAATATGTAGGAATAAGAACAATAATCATCATCAGAGCTAGTATTGAGCGCTTGTTATGGTCCAGAGACTCTGCTAAGCCGTCCTTTATACCCTTTCAACCACTGTATCTGCTGGGTATGGTTACATTTTACAAATGAGAAAACTGAGTCTCAGACTAAGTAACTTCCCAATGTCATGCAAGCAATGATTTGTAGAAACAGGATGGGAACTCGAATGGTGGCAAAAATGACTCTAGCCCCCACATTGACTATACTGCTTCTAAAACATTACTTTTAATATGCTGTATACTTTCATATACGTGTGAGTACACACACATATATATTTAGAGAAAAATCTGAAATTAGTCAAATTAAGTATATATATCCCCTTTGATCTAGAATTTCAGTCCTCTTTGTGTGTGTTTGTGTATGTGTGTATCAAAAAATTCTTACGTAGTTCCATAAGGAGACATATGCAAAGCTGTATATCACAGTGTTATTTTAGAGGGTGGGATTTGGAGGCAATCTCACTATTTATTGTTGGGCAAGTGGATAAAGAAGAGGTGGTACCTGAAGACCTGTAATACTATGCAGTAGTTACAGCTATTAAACTAGATATAAATAGAGCAACAAGGATGGTTCATTAAAATACATCACTGAATAAAAAAAAAGAAATTGTATGAGGTATAGCACAATATCACTTTTATAAATTCAAAATGTATGAACAAAGAACAATGTATGCATTTTATAAAATAATGTAACAAAAAGATATGTATTAAACAGATTATAATGGCTCGCTATGACATGAAGGGAATGGGGAAACACAAGTGCAGATAAGATGGAAAAATAAATAAAACAGAAGAGGAGCCTTGCTGTGTCCAATAATGACAAAAATACCCCAGTTCTCTGTGCTTAAGTCCAAAACAAGAAGTATTATCTGATAATGGGCTCAAAACTAATTTAATATGAAAATCTTAAATGTTGAAAAAGTAGTTCTGCAGTAAAAATAGAATGGCTTATCTTTTCTTGACTATGACATCGTCACAGCATTACTTTTATTATGGTGAGGTACCCTATGGGCCTATAGGACTGAGTGACTTCCTACTGGCCATTTGTGCTTTAGATGCTTATCTTGTTCCGTTACTCGCACTTCAAATATATCTATCCTACCGAAGCTATAAAGAACACATACCCAATTATATACTGCCAAGATTTTTGGATGAGAGAGAATCTTCCATTCAAAGAAGTTACCTAGGACTTCCCTTCTATTTCTCTGCTTCAGTTATTCATCTCTGTTACGTTTTTCTTAGCTCTTTTATCTAATGTCTTTGAGTTTATTCATTAAATTATGTAGTAGTCATTAATCATATTCACCAAATATTTCGAGTTCTTCCCCATTTTGACTCTGTTATGTTTTTTTGTTAGCTTTTTAATCTAATGTCTTTGAGTTTATTCATTAAATTATGTGGTAGTCATTAATTATATCCACCAAATATTTCAAGTTCTTCCCCATTCTGAGTACACAGAGCCATTTCTGGGCTCTGGTGGAGTTGGATGGGACTGACTTGATCTGGCCAATGAAGCTGATTCTTCTTTGGAAGTGCAAGACCCTCCAAAGCCACCTATTCCATCTGGCACAGCAACCAGCAAAGTTTGAGATGGTGGCTATTCTCTTTGCCTAAATCTCTGAGCAACTAAAATGTATATGGAACCCAGCTATCCTACCGTGGACATATTACATGAGTTTAAAATAAATATTTCTCATTTTAAATTTCTGATATTTGTGAGATTGCTTATTTTACTGCAGTATAATTTAGTATATCCTAACTGAAAAAATTCCAACAATGAAATTATTAGTGAAAATTACTTAGATCTTCTGGACTGTCAGTTGATTTGGTTAATGAGTTTCTATTTACAAAAACTTGAAAACATCAGTTTAGGCAACCATATCAGCTCAACACAGTGATTGTCTTATACGGTATAACATGAAAATGTGAACTCAAATCAAGATAAAGAATCTTTCTTCTTATCATATATAAAAAGAAAACAGATCGATAAGAAGAAAAGATCGGTCCTTCATGAAGTATCATTTATCATTTCTAAGATTTTTGTACAGACTTATTATTTATTTTTTGGATGATTTATTTTAAATAATTTTTCTCCCTGAGAAAGAATATGAAGCCAAGTCACCTATTTTCTTGCTAAATGTGTCATAACGGGGCACTTGGTTCATTTAATCCACTCTTGCCTCTTTTCTTCATGAATTTGCTATGTAGCCAATCTTAACTCTCATTAGGAGATGTTTTTGTTCTCATTTGAATGAAAAATAATTTGCAATTAATTTGACAGTTACAAATGAACACGTTCTCATTTGTTTTGTCTGAGACATCTGGGTAAACACTGCTTTTGTACCTTCAGTGAAGAAAAATGAAGCATAGCC
This sequence comes from Homo sapiens, assembly GCF_000001405.40. Lineage (NCBI taxonomy): Eukaryota > Metazoa > Chordata > Mammalia > Primates > Hominidae > Homo > Homo sapiens. Next base: position 145,091,577 of record NC_000023.11, on the reverse strand, counting down.
TTTGAAATTAATGTGCCAAAAAAGATTGAAAACTTACCATTACCTAGAGGGCATTAAAATAAACCAGGTATATAGGCATACAAGGTACTTTTGTTCACTATATATCTATTGTCAGGTCGAGTCCATTGACTGTCTTCCTGTGCTGGTATATATGTGTGAGTGTGTAAGTGGTATTTACTGTTAGGTTCAGTGTAATTCAGAGGACCTTGCCTCTCTTCCATCAAAAAGTGAAAACTATGACCCTTTTCCATGAAACTCAGTGAGCTTTTTCTAACTGCTGGGTCTGATAAAGTATGTCAGAAGTGATACAGTGTAATTTCCCAGACAGCCATAAAAGTTGATACAACCTCCACCTAGTGGTCTCTTATGTTATCCCTGTCCCCCTCAGGATGCTTACCCTTGGCACTTTGCTGACATACTATGAAGAAGCCTCCACCATGTGGAGAAACCACCTGTAGGTGTTTCAGCTGACAGGTGCCTCTGTGGTCTCAGCCAACAGCCTGAATTAACTGCTACACATATGAGGAAAGAAGCCTTCAACATGAATCAAGTCTTGCTCACCATCTGACTGCAATCGTGTAGAGATCCCAAGCAAGAACCATCTAGCTGAGTACAGTAACTCCCCATCATTGTGTGAAATAGTAATAATAATTGCTGTAGTGTGCTGCAAAGTTTGAGGTGATTTCTTTTGGAGTGATACATAAGTATGATAGAAGTCAAATGGTCAAGTGACTGGCTTGTGGTCATACAACAGTCAGGTCACAAAACTCCAAGGTTTGTTTGCTATCTTGTAATTGAAGACCTTCAAATTATTGTACCTATAACCTATTCTTTGAGCAACAGAAGCCAGGTATGGATGGATGCTCATTAAAAAAAAAAAATCATACAATTTCATGACCCTTAACCACACTTACTAAATAGCAAAGATTATAGTGTTAAAAAATACTAAGCTACTACTGTAGTCTGTCCTAAAGTATTTCATCTTCTCATTTTGTTGTTGTTGGGTGGGAAGGGGGTAGGGCAGGGTTAGAATTTACATGGTACCCTTTCTTTTTTGTGGAAGTCCCAAGGGATCCCATAAAATGGCAAGTTTTGAGTAAAAATAGAACCCAGATTGTGTGTCAAACCTGTGTATGGGTCTGACACTTGCTAGGTCTATGATCTGGAAAAGGGCCAAATGAGCCAATACACAATTTTATAGATAACCAGTTCTTCTAAATTCAAATCAGTTGTTCTGTCAACTATATCATGCTGTCCTATTTGTTTTCACTGGGATAAAAGAGAATAAAAAAAGCATTTATCAATTGCTTAATATGGAGTAAAAAAAATGAACCATACACATATTATCAAATTTTGTCCTTATAAGAATCCTTTGCAATTGATGCTGGTGTTACTATACCATTGAATAAGAGCTGAATAAACTGAGGTTTCTAAAACTATCTCAAGGTCACAGATAGCATACACAAGAGACTATATTTAGACCTATACTTCAGTCATGAATCTATTTACCATCAAATCATTGTACCATATTCTTGATTAAATTCATTTTATTTTCCTTAATGTTCATTTGAAAAAATAGGATCTCTTTCATTTTGCATTATTTTCAGATTAGAAGTTTTTTCCTCTTCTCTGTCTAAAACTTAAATTAATTTTGGCATCCTTTTCTTTGTGTAGTTCTGTTCTTTAATTAAAAATACACTTTAAGTGTCATGTGTTTCTAAAAATTGTACAAAGTTATTTCACTTGAAGTTTCAGAAAAGGCAAAAACTTAACTGAAAGGTATTTTTCATCCATCTTGCTGCTCTGTATTCTTTTCCTCCAGCACTTCTGTTTGACTTTGCAGAAGGAATTTAGCTCAGCAATGAAAGGACAAAGCTTTCCTTTGAGGACCACTCCCCAGGGCCTTCGTACCTTAGCCTCACAGAGTGATTCTGGCAGATCTCAAACACAAACAAACCCAACGGTGATTTGGGAGGACTGGACCGTGGATTTAACTATAAAATTAAACTATAAAATCTTGACTATTGAGTATACATTGTAGACATCCAGAAATATTATTTGCATTTAATCTATTCACTTAGCTTATGGGAGGAGAGATTAAATTCTATATATCAAAGACCACCAGGTGTATAGCTTCTGAATTTAATCAACTTCAATTATAAAATTACTTCATGAATTTGGTGAAAGACATAATGGAGAAAAAAAATGTCTTCTTACTCCAGTTAAAAACCATACTGATGACAGATCCTGGGTGGTTTAAAAATAAAATGAAAATATAAAGAAGTTTAAAATTCACATTATAAGGTGGTTTATTAAAAATAATACAAATTTTAGAGTCAGATCTGACTTCAAGCCTTATGATAAACTATTATTTACAACTATTATGTATAGCTCCATTTTGTATTATTTCCATAGCATTGGGTCAATGGTTCAACCTTCTTGAAACTTAGCTTATTTATATATCACATGAAATGACAAAACAATACCTACCTTAAAAGGTTTTGATTACAATGAAAAGAGATACGTATTTTAAAAGATTTGACATGCACTTATCAGTGTACAATAAATATTCAGTAATTTCCAGAAAATAATATTACAAAGATGGGTTAGATCTCAAAAGCCCAGTTTTAAATATATTGACAGGCATTATGAACTAAAACATCTTCAGGGCATTGGAGACCTGAAGACGGTTAACCCAACTAAAGGTTCTGTATTAGCCTGTTTTCACACTGTTATAAAGAACTACCCAAGACTGGGTAATTTATAAAGGAAAGAAGTTTAATTGATTCACAGTTCAGGATGGCTGAGGAGGCCTCAGGACATTCACAATCATGGCGGCGGAAGGTGAGGGGGAAGCAAGACACCTTCTTCATAAGGCAGCAGGAAGGAGAATGCACACAGGAGGAACTACCAAACACTTATAAAACCATCAGATCTCTTGAGAACTCACTATCACAAGAACAGCATGGGGAAAACCACCTCCATGATTCAATTACCTCCACCTGTTCTCTCCCTTGACACATGGGGATTATGGGGATTACAATTCCAGGTGATGTTTGGGTGGGGACACAAAGCCTAACCATATCATTCCACTCCTGACCCCTCCCAAATCTCATGTCCCTTTCACATTTCAAAACCAACCATGCCTTCCCAACAGTCCTCCAAAGTCTTAATTCATTCCAGCATTAACCCAAAAGTTCAAGTCCAAAGTCTCATCTGAGACAAGGCAAGTCCCTTCTGCCTAGGAGCCTGTAAAATCAAAAGCAAGTTAGTTACTTACTAGATACAATGGAGATACAGGAATTGGGTAAATGTTCTCATTCAAATGGGAGAAATCAGCCAAAGCAAAGGGGCTACAGGTTTCATGCAAGTCCAAAATTAGGCTGGGCAGTCATTAAATCTTAAAGTTCCAAAATAATCTCTTTTGACTCCTTGTCTCACATCTAGGTCATGCTGATGCAATAGGTGGGATCCTGTGGCCTTGGGAAGCTCTGACCCTGTGGCATTGGGTACAGTGCCCCTTCTGGCTGCTTATATGGCTGGCATTGAGTGTCTGTAGCTTTTCCAGGTGCACGGTGGAAGCTGTCAGTGGATCTACCATTATGGGGTCTGAAGGATGATGTCTGTCTTCTCACAGCTCCATCAGGCAGTGTCCCAGTGGGGATTCTGTGTGGGGGCTCCAAACCCACATTTCCCTTTCTCACTGCTCTAGGAGAGGTTCTCCATGAGGGGGTCCACCCCTGCAGCAAACTTCTGCCTGGACATTGAGGAATTTCCATACATCCACTGAAATCTAGGCAGAAGTTCCCAAAGCTCAAGTATTGACTTCTTTGCACCCACAGGCTGAACGCTATGTGTAAGCCTCCAAGTCTTAGGGCTTTCAATGGCCTGAGCTGTATGTTGGCCCCTCTTAGCCATGACTGGGATGAAAGACACAAACTCCCAAGACTGCACAAAACAGCAAGGTTCTAGGATGCAAAGCCCATAAAATTATTTTTTCCTCATAGGCCTCCAGACCTGTGATGGGAAGGGCTGCTGTGAAGACCTCTGACATGCTCTGGAGACATTTCTCCCTTTTTCTTGCTGATTAACATTTGGCTCTGTGTTACTTGTGCAAATTTCTGAAGCGTGCTTGATTTTCTCTCCAAAAAAATGGGTTTTTCTTTTCTATTGCATCATCAGGCTGCAAATTTTTCAAACTTTTATGCTCTGCTTGCTCCTGAATGCTTTGCTGCTTAGAAAATTATTCTGCCATGTACTATAAATCCAATCTCTCAAGTACAAAGTTCCATAGACCTCTAGGGCAGGGGTAAAATGCTGCCAGTCTTTTTGTGAAAGCGTAGTAAGTATCACCTTTCTTCCAGTTCCCAAGAAGTTCCTCATCTCTATCTTACACAACCTCAGGCGGAACTTCATTGTCCATATGACTATCAGCATTTTGGTCAAAGCCATTCAACAAATCTCTAGGAAGTTCCAAACTTTCCCACATTTTCCTGTCTTCTTCTGAGCACTCCAAACTGTTTCAATCTCTGCCTGTTACCCAGTTACAAAGTCGTTTCCACATTTTTGGGTATCTTTACAACAGCACCACATTTTTGGTACCAATTTACTGTATTAGTTGGTTTTCACACTGCTATAAAGATCTGCCCGAGACTGGGTAATTTATAAAGAAAAAGGGATTTAATTGACTCACAGTTTAGAATGGCTGGGGAGGCTTCAGGAAACTTATAATCATGATAAAAGGTGAAGGGGAAGCAAAGCACCTTTTTCACAAGGCAGCAGGAGGGAGAATGAATGCAGGAGGGACTACCAAACACTTAAAAAGCCATCAGACCTCATGAGAAATCACTCACTATCAGGAGAACAGCATGGGGGAAACTGCCCCCATGATCCAGTTACCTCCACCTGGTCTCTCCCTTGACATGTGGGGATTATGGGGATTGTAATTCAAGATGAGATTTGGGTGGGGACACAAAGCCTGACTATATCAGGTTCAATTCAATTTTTACAAGAAACACTGTACTAAATAAGAAAAGCATGTGTGCCTTGTTTGCATCCCACTGGCTACCAGTTCAATATCCATGAAATACAGAAATAATACAAAAAATTCTTTATTCTCCTTATATCCAAGCAGTCTTTTATATAAGACATCTATAGGTTTTTGTCTGATTAAATAGTAAATCAATATACAGCAACATGTCAAACTCTAACTAGAAACACAAAGAAATATGAGACTATATCAAAATAAAAATTTTATTATATAGGCAAGTTCAAAAAAGAAAAATATCTCCAGACACTATAAATTAGAAGAGAATTAAAACTTTCACATTAAACATGAGCTGATAGTGCAGTGGTCCATAATGGTTTCAAAGCTCCATATATGCTTCTCTAAGGAGACAGGGCTGTAACACAAATGTGGATAAGATATATGACCCAGAACCTACTGGAGGAAAAGAAACTACACCTCTCACATAAAGCAAAATGCCTTCAAGTACTATCCTGTCTGACAAAATAGGACTTGAATACCTCTCACTAATACCCTGAAGATACTGTGATGAAGCTTCCCATTTAAGGCCTTTCACCTGATTCAGCCTTCAAAATGTGTCACTTGATTTACCATATGTATTTATTCTCATTCACAGATGATACAGTTATCTACACAGAAGTCAGTCAGACTGGCTCTAGAGTTTGTGATCTTCATCACTATGCTGTGCTGTCTCTCATGTAAATTTTTTGTTATGCCTGAAATATCCAATTAGAAATATAATAAAATTGCATTGGATTCATATATTAATAAAGGTAGAATTGATATCATTATCTTAATTTTCATTCAGAGACAGATGCTTCAGTCTCTTCATCTATAAGGTACAGATGATAATAGTAATACCTAATAGGGTAGTTGTGAGGAACGAATGAGCTACTGCTTTTAAATCACATAGAACAGAACTTGTTACATAGTAAGCGCAATATGTTTTTTAAACACGTATCAAAATATGAAACAAAAAATATAATGAAATCCAATACAATTTTTGAGAAGACTAGGGAGTCCAACTACAGATCAGAATTTATTAAAAAGTGGTAGTAATTAAGACATTGTATTTCTGATGCAGGAATAGACAGACCAAAGTAATAGAGAGCTGAACAACTAATGGAAGCACACTAGGGAACTTGGCATATGACACAGATGGCATTAAAAATCCCTGGGGAAACAAGGTAATCAATAAATGATTCTGGGACAATTGATTTCCCTTATGGAAAAATTATATTCCTATTTCACAGCATAGTGAAAGATAAATATCAGACGTATTAAAGATAAAAATGTAAAAAAAAAATTTCAAAGCTATTAGATAAAAATGTAAGAGACTATGTCTATAACCTTAGGGTATAGAAGGATATTTTTAAGTAGAATAAACACAAAAAGTCAAGGAAAATATTGGTTAAGTTGACTACTACATGAAAATAAAAACTCTTTGTACAATGAGTTAAAAACACTATATGAACAAATAAAAACTTAAACCACTAACTTGGAAAAAAAAACACGTGGAAACATATTACCCATAAAGATTACTAACCACATTATATAAAGAACTTCTAATGAATAAGAAAAACAAACAACACAAAGGAAAATGATGAAGAAAGATATAATTAGGCACTAGAGACAGGAACATGGATGGGGCTTTGTATTTGGTGATATATTTATGAAGAGATGATTAGCCTGGAAAATTAAAGCAGTGCAAATTATATTACATGGGTAGAACTAGAAGGTCTTATACTTTAAGTTGAGCAGATGTAGAGAAATTGGATCTCTCACACACTTCTGATATGAAGATAAACTGGCATGCTACCACTTTGAAGGGCAATATGACAGTGTCTTGTAAAGTGGAAAATTCACATACCATATGACTCAATTCTACTTCTAGGTATAGAGAATATCTCTACATGTACAAATTTATTGAGGGCTGATTCTGTGCCAATAACTCTTCTGAGTGCTTTACATGAATTATCTTACTTTCACAACAATTGCATAAGATAGTCACTGTCATAACTTCATGTTACAGATAGCAAACCTAGGAAGAAAGAGAATAAACAATTTGTCCAGGTATACGTAGCTAATAAACCAAAGATCTGGGATTGAAACACAACAGTTTGGCTAGCACTATCATATGTCTTATACACAAAAGTGTGATTCTACATTGTTGGTAATTTTCATACACATAAACATAATCAACATTGTTAGTAATAATAAAATAATAATTATTAAAATTACCTAAATATCCCCTAGTATAAAATGGCTTGATAAATCATTAATAATAACAAAATAATAATAATTAAAATTACCTAAGTATCCTCTAGTATTAAATGGCTTTATAAATCGTTAATAAGCATATGCCAGTTAAAATAAGGGAAGTAGATCTACATGTGTCAACACAGATCTCAAAACATAAAATTAAGTCATAAAACAAAAGTACAGAGGGATTCATGCTGTCTTTATATAATTTCTAAAACAAAATAATATATTAGTCATGAACATGAAAATATTTAATCAAATATAAATTTATGGACAGCAGTAGTATACACTCATTTTAAAATAGTGGTCACTTCTGGAAGTGTTTAGGCAATGAGAATATGGAATTAGGCATAAAAAGAGGATTTTAACTAGACTTTCAACATTTCATTTTTCAAAAAACCTGAGGCAAATTCTGGCAACTCAACAGTACAAAGACAAACCACTCAGTTAAAAATGGGCAAAGGACTTGAATAAACATTTCTCCAAGGATGATATGCACACGTCTAATAAGCATATGGAAATATGCTCAACATTGATAATCATCAGAGATATGCAAGTCAAAACCATGATAATATAACTGTCCATATCTACTAAGATGGCTATAACAAAAAAACTAAAGCTAATGTTGGCAAAGTGCAGACAAATTGGAATCCTATAACTTGACAGTGGGAATGGAGAATAGTGTGGCTGCTGTGGAAATTAGTTTGGTGGTTTTTCAAAAAGTTAAACATAGAATTACCATATGACCCCAAATTTTACTCCTAATTGAAAACAGGAACTCAAACCGATATATATGTATGTCAATGTTCATTGCAGCATTATTTATAACAGCCAAAATGTGGATATAACCCAGATGTTCATCAACAAATGAATGTATAATCAAAAGTGGCATATACATATAATGGAATATTATTCAGCCATAAAAGGCATTAAATTCTAATATATGCTACAACATGAAGTAATCTTGAAGATATGCTAAATGAACTAAGCCAGACACAAAAGGACAGATATTACATGACTCCATTTACATGAGGTACCTAGAATAGGTAAGCTCACAAATACAGAAAGTAGATTAGAGGTTATCTGGAGCTGGGAAAAGAGTAAATGGAGAATTGTTGTTTAGTGGGTATAGTGTCCGTTTGGGGTAATGAGAAAGTTTTGGAAAGTGATAGTGATGGTGGTTGTACCACATTGTCTATGTAATTATTCCAGCTGAATTGTAGACATGAAAATGGATAAAATGAGAAATTTTGTTATATTAATTTTACCACAATTTCTAAACCAGAGGTAAATATGGCTAAATATTAACATTTTTATTTTTAAGTGATGAATACTTGTGTGCTATGTTATTTGTATTTGTCTTTATGCTTGAAATATTTTATAATAAAAATATCAATGATTGATTTATTTGGAAGAAAAAGTAATAAATTATTGAAAAATAGTAACTGAATGTTTTTAAGATGTCTGGCTATAGGGACTTCATGAATTCACTAACCAAAGATATCATGATGCATTGCATTAAATATTAAAACTAATGATTTAAAGCAACCCAAATCTGCTGAAATGATTTGGAAGCTGAAGCAATGCATGCTTTTATGTGCGTGAAAGCTTAAGTTTATTTGACCGTGAAGCAAGCAAAGGGCCATACACCTTGACAATCTCAGCAGTTTAGGGAGAAAGCGGCATTTAAATTTTAAAAGGCAAGCAAAACAGACGTACTACATTTACACTGTCCCCATTAGAACTGCAAAGTATGAATAAGCAGGAAAGAGTGCTATCAATGCTACTTCCAAGCCTATGACTAATTGTGTGAAAATTTCTCATATATTATGTTTTCCCCATATATTCTATAGTAAGGGTATCTTTTTTCAATATGAGTTTTATAAGAGGAACTTAACTAGTGGTTCATTTTCAACTGTTTGATGTTCATCTTAAAACAGTGGAGCTTAATTTCTATGGTTAAAAAAAGACTTGGAAATAGTCTTTAAGTGTGCTGTATTAATAAGAAAAAATTCAGAACAGGTGATAGAACTGAATTCAGATTGTGCCTTATCATTTATTGAGTAGGTGATGTTGAGCCAATTGCTTACCTTGTCTAGGTCTTCATCTCATCATGAAAAAATGAATGGGTTGACACCAGATGATCTCTGAGGATCAACCATTCTATATTAATAAAGCTCTGTGCTCATTTTATACAGTAAAGTAAAAATGATTCCAGAATCTTAAAAGCCAATTTAAAACAGAATTTTCCATGGATCATACCAGTTAGGCCGAATGATATTTTTTTCACTTTCTTTTGGATAAATTTAAATAGAAGAACGAACACAGTTAAGAGGAAGGTCAAACTGATGACAGGTTCATGATGAATAAACACTCTTAATGATGCAAAATATCATTTTGAAGATCTTATTTTTCAAAACCACAAGCCTATTTAGTTGCTTATTTCATTGCAAAGTTGTTTTATGTACACCAAGAAAATGTGGGTATTTGTTTATTTGGTTGTTGTTTGACTTTGGGTTTTCATTCTTATAAAGATAAATTTATATTTGTCTTTCAAAAGTAATAAGCAGAAGTAAGGCAAGTAGGTACCCACTATTTGGGAGCAGCCCTGTCCAAAAGAAAG